>NC_000010.11:85597640-85749155 GCF_000001405.40 Homo sapiens | reverse complement strand
ATTGATATTTGATGAATAGTAACTGCCTGTCACCTTGAGGCCCGAGTAAAAATAGGGATATCTGTTACAAAGCAGTTTCAGTGATCCAGGTGATAATGGTGGCTGGGATTTGGGAGGTAGTAATAGATATGGTGCAGTTTCTGGATAGAGTTCTGAAGTAGAGTAAACATGGCTAGCAGATGGCTTTTGTGTGCAAGGTGAAATCAAGGATGACTCTGAAATCTTTGGCTTAAGTAATGAGGTAGATAAAGGTGTTTGTAACTGAGATGATGGAATATTTGGAAAATAAAAGATTAGTGTGTGATGTGTTTGAGGAGTTTTGGGATGGAAGGTTGTATATTTGAAATTTTTGACTCTGAGTTGTCTATTAGGTATTCAAGTGGAGATGTCAAGCTGGAGCCTGGCCATTTCAGTCTGGAGCTCAGGGAAGAAACCTGATATAGAAATATAAATTTCAAAGCGATTAGAGCATTGATGAAGATTGAAATTCACGAGGACCTGCTATCAATGTTAATATGTGTTCTAATTTAAGGAAACAAAACTTGAGGCTAAAAAGGGTTAATTAGCTTCCTTAAAGCCATAATTAGTATGTGATTGAGGTAGGATTCAAACTGAAGTCTGCCCAAATTCATTCTGCCAAAGATAATAATTATTTTAATATTGCTAATACGATATCAATTTTTGGTCAGTTTTATAGCTCTCAACCCTCTTTTACCCATATGATTTCACTGGTGAAGAGGTTAGATATTAAGAACTTCTGCTCCTGGTTTTCAGGGGATGACAGTGAAACATAGGATAGTCACATGAATTGACTAAGGTCACATGATGTTTCTCAGGCAATCTCACCCTTGAGCCTCAGGTTTTTTAGTGGAAGCACATTACACTATACTGTACTGCTTCTCAATCAGTGTGGAATTATGTGAATGTTCTACTCCATTCCATTCCATTTCTTTCAGTTCAGTTGCAGATGTTCTTACTGAATGTTTGAATGTCTGAGCCCAGGGTCTTTGGAGGCCACATAGAGGCAGACACTCTTGGCTGCCGACCTTGAGATGTACACAGTCACGGTGGGCAGGTGCACCTCACTCCTATGACTCATTTCCCTGAACACAGCCTTCAAGCTTATCAGAAACAGAGTCCCCTCTAATCTTACAAAGTAATGTACTGATCATTTTCTCTTTTAACTGTTGTAGAAAGAAAGGTGATTTATTTGGTTATCTTCATATCTGAGTTACATGTATAAACTAAAGAAGACTTACTGGTACTGAAAGCAAGTACTATTCACCTTCTGATTACGGACTATGAAAGGTAAAATTAGATATGGGAAGACCCATCTTTTACCCCTTACACTGTCTTGGTAGCTAGATCATCTGGGCTCAAGGCTTCTGCTATCCCGTAACAGAAAATGCTTTCAAAATCTCTGTCTCTTGGTTCCTATTGCCTAATATCACTCCCAGGTTACATAGACTAATCACTTTCTGGTGTAGGCTTTATTATTGTTATGCTTATATCCATTTTCTGGGTAAGAATAACTCTTTGACTCTGGTGCTGGGGGTGAATGAGAGTCATTTTCCTTCTGTGCAGTTGGAGAAACCTCTATAGTATGGGGCTAAGAGGAAGGGGCAGGAGGAAGGAGGCCTGAGCCCTATGAGGTTTCTAGGTTGTGCCAGTGCAATGATCTGGCTCCCAGAATGTCAAATAAGATGTAAGGGGAATGGAAGCTTGCAAAATGCTGACCTCAGGATTGTGTCAAAGTTCTGGGCTTCATCAGCAGTCCCAGTCCAGATGAGATTTCATCACTGTGGAAGTTAACCACCTTTGGAACATTTTTCTCTTTTATTCCTTCTTCTCTCCTGCTTGCCTTTCCTTTATTTCTTCCTCCATTAAATAACGAAATGCCTATACAGTCACTGCTATGTGCATAGGAAGCATTTTGTGAGGAAAACCCCATGGGCTTTGATTCAGAAGTTCTGAGTTTACAGGCTCTCTGGATTATTTAATTGACACAAATCACCTAACCGTTCTGAGCCTCAAGTCTCTCCACCAGCAAAATTGAGGATAAAAATTTCTGTTCTGTTTAACTCACAAAGTGTTGGTGACACTCAAATGAGATATTATGTGTGACAATACTTTGTTGAATGTAAACAAGTTCACCTACTGTATGGGAGGCAGCATTTTAGATGATGTGGGAATACAGAGAGGAATAAACCAGCCCAGGCTTTTAAGATGAGCATAAAGGCAAATGCATGAGAAACTGTTATTATTGATGCATTAACAAATGACCCCAACATTTAACAGCTTAAGAGAGCAATAATTTTATTATATTATTTTATATAATATTCATCATGTTTTATTTTATTATATATCATAGATTCTGCAGGATTGGATGGGTGACTTTAACTGAGGTCACTTAGCTGTACTCAGGAGGGTTCAAGAGGGCTTCACTTGCATGCCTGGTACCTTGGTGGGAGTTACTGAAAGACTGAGATCATCTGGAACTATCTTCCAGGACATCTACATGTAGCCTCTTCAGCATGCTGATCTCAAGCTGTTGAATCTCTTATATGGTGGCTGGCTTGCCCCAGTGCAACGGTCATAAGTGGAAATTGAAGGCCATTTAGAATGTAGACTCAGAAGTCACAAAATGTCACCTCCACAACAATTAGAAATTACAAATAAAACCAATCAATATTGAAGGGAGAGGGGTGAGGTTAGGCTTTGTATGTAAATGTGGAAGCGACAAGGTCACTTTCTAGAAGAGCATAGGATGATGTTATTGCTAGACTTGGAACATGCAACCTGCTATCCTGCTTCTGATGGCTATAATGGTTCACACCCCTCTCGAATGGAAAAAATACTCTCAACTCCCTCTCTAAAGGACCCCAAAGACTCGTACCATTTAGGCCATTGACCCAAAGTCTAGGATCTTATCATCTAAGTCAGGTTGAGGTACAGATGAAGCTCTTTGAGTACAGATTCTTGGATACATCTCCCCAAGTATGGTTTTCAACCTGAATACCTAAATCCAAAGAGACAAATGATATAACTCCCTTGCAATCAATATATGAAGGTAAGGCAGTGATAGGATAACTGCAATAAGGATTACCATTTGTAAGGAGGAGTAGTTGGAAAGCACATAGTGATCACTGGTCAATACCAATTTTCATATCCAGCTATTCATGTCTCATGTCGTTAACTCCTCAATTAAAACTTGTTACTGCTTCTTTGTTTCTTCACTCTACTCTTTGAGCTCTTGATTCTTCCCAAATCATCCTTACTTTTTGAGAGAAAAAAATGTAGATTCTTTTTGCAGCTGATTTCCTTCCCATACTTCAGGGATCTAAATGTCTCTCTTATTCTGCATTGTCTCTAACCCATTTTGTCTAACCTGGTCATGTTTGTGACACTACAATTACTTTTTTTTTTTTTTTTAATTATACTTTAAGTTTTAGGGTACATGTGCACATTGTGCAGGTTAGTTACATATGTATACATGTGCCATGCTGGTGCGCTGCACCCACTAACGTGTCATCTAGCATTAGGTATATCTCCCAATGCTATCCCTCCCCTCTCCTTCGACCCCACCACCGTCCCCAGAGTGTGATATTCCCCTTCCTGTGTCCATGTGATCTCATTGTTCAATTCCCACCTATGAGTGAGAATATGCGGTGTTTGGTTTTTCGTTCTTGCGATAGTTTACTGAGAATGATGGTTTCCAATTTCATCCATGTCCCTACAAAGGACATGAACTCATCATTTTTTATGGCTGCATAGTATTCCATGGTGTATATGTGCCACATTTTCTTAATCCAGTCTATCATTGTTGGACATTTGGGTTGGTTCCAAGTCTTTGCTATTGTGAATAATGCTGCAATAAACATACGTGTGCATGTGTCTTTATAGCAGCATGATTTATAGTCATTTGGGTATATACCCAGTAATGGGATGGCTGGGTCAAATGGTATTTCTAGTTCTAGATCCCTGAGGAATCGCCACACTGACTTCCACAATGGTTGAACTAGTTTACAGTCCCACCAACAGTGTAAAAGTGTTCCTATTTCTCCACATCCTCTCCAGCACCTGTTGTTTCCTGACTTTTTAATGATTGCCATTCTAACTGGTGTGAGATGATATCTCATAGTGGTTTTGATTTGCATTTCTCTGATGGCCAGTGATGATGAGCATTTTTTCATGTGTCTTTTGGCTGCATAAATGTCTTCTTTTGAGAAGTGTCTGTTCATATACCTTCGCCCACTTTTTGATGGGTTGTTTGTTTTTTTCTTGTAAATTTGTTTGAGTTCATTGTAGATTCTGGATATTAGCCCTTTGTCAGATGAGTAGGTTGCGAAAATTTTCTCCCATGTTGTAGGTTGCCTGTTCACTCTGATGGTAGTTTCTTTTGCTGTGCAGAAGCTCTTGAGTTTAATTAGATCCCATTTGTCAATTTTGGCTTTTGTTGCCATTGCTTTTGGTGTTTTGGACATGAAGTCCTTGCCCGTGCCTATGTCCTGAATGGTAATGCCTAGGTTTTCTTCTAGGGTTTTTATGGTTTTAGGTCTAACGTTTAAATCTTTAATCCATCTTGAATTGATTTTTGTATAAGGTGTAAGGAAGGGATCCAGTTTCAGCTTTCTACATATGGCTAGCCAGTTTTCCCAGCACCATTTATTAAATAGGGAATCCTTTCCCCATTGCTTGTTTTTCTCAGGTTTGTCAAAGATCAGATAGTTGTAGATATGCAGCGTTATTTCTGAGGGCTCTGTTCTGTTCCATTTTAAAAATTGTGTGGGTTTTAAAATTAAGCTTATCAGTTGTTGACCACATTAGATAAAAGCCACACTTGCAAATATTTCTGACAGTCTCTTCTTTAGCTTGAATTCCCAAACAGGCTCCTAGGGATTTTTAGAATTTCTGTTGTCTAACAGAGAAGGTCTGTGAGGTACATCTTTAAGACTATAGAAGGTCTTTTGTCTTTCTGAGAAGTCTTCAAGGCAGCATTTTAAATATGTATGAAGTCTTAAGAAAGGGTTTACAGGTATACCCTTCATTTCATGGGTCCACATTTTCTGGCTAGTCTGCAGGAGTTGATCTTTGCATTGAGAACCTCTCTTATTTTGGAATTTTCTGCTAGAAAACACTGAGAATAAAAAATATTTTATTTTTGAATCCAACAAATCTTGGCTTCTATCTTCTATATACTTTATTTAAATTCTGCTTGAAAACAGAATCCCTTCTTTACTTAATCTATGAACTATCTATGCACCTATGCATGCATTATGACATGCAATTAAGAGAAACCAAAGGATCATTCAAATTTCTGCCTGGACACTTCAGTAGTTAGATTCACCAGTTTATTAAATAGATTTTCTACTTTCCATATTACTGCATGTGAAAAATTTCTAAAATTTTCTGCCACTAGATATTAGGTTCGTGCAAAATTAATTGTGGCTTTTACCATGACTTTAATGGCAGAAACCACAATTACTTTCTCATCAACCTAATAACAAAAGTAGCTTCTTTTTCAGCTTCCAATATTTTCCCCTAAACTCCTACAGTAGTTTTCTTGAGTTTTGGTTCCACTAAAAGTCTCCTTAAGGTTCTCCTATCTTCCTTCCTAGACACAGTCTCAAAGCCAATTCCACATATTTTATATTTTTTTATTGTAACACTGTATTTCCAGGACCAACTTCTTTTCAAGTTACTATTACTGCATGACAACCCCAAATTTTGTAAAATAATAATTTATAAATGTCTAATGGATTCTGTATGTCAGAAATTTGGTCAGGGCTTGTCTTTGGGATTCTTCTAATGTTAACTAAAGTCACTCAATGACACTCAGCTAGTTTATGCACCTGTCTTAAGGGTCTAAGATGGATTCACTCACATGTCTAGTGCTTTGGCAGAGGTGATTGGAAGGCTGGACACATATGGGATCCATGTGGGACCCACAGGTGGTCTCTCCAGCATGGTGGTCTCAGGGTTACTGTACTTTTTGCGGGCAGCTGGATTCTCCTAGATAATTGGTTCTCAATGGGTGGTGGGGGGGGGGGCTGCATAATTCTATCCTCCAAGGGTTTTTGGCAATGTCTGGAGATATTTTTGGTTATCACACTGGTGGGGGGCCGGGGAGTCGGGGGAGAGGCACTACTGGCATCTAGTTGGCAGAGGTCAAGGATGCCACTAAACATCCTGCAATGCACAGAATAGCCCCCACACCCAACCCACAAATAATTATCTGGCCCCAAATGCCAATAGTGTCAGGTTGAAAAGCTTTGTCCTAGAGCAAGTATCTCAAGAGAACTAAGCAGACACTGTATGGCCCTTTCTGACCTAGTCCCAAAGACATACAGCATCAGATTCAGCCCAGATTTAAAGGAAGAGTAATTAGACTTCTCTTCCTGATAGGAGGTGGAGAAGTCACATTACAGAAGAGCATGTGGGATGGGGAATATTGTCACAACCATCTTTAGAAAATACAATCTGCTGCAGGAACTGTCAGGGAAATATGAATGTGATCAGTGCCGTGAAAATGGGTAAGCATAATGCGTTAAAGATGCAGGAGGATCTGTCACTTCTAGTTGGAGAGATAAAATGGGGTTTCCTGAAAACAGGGCAATTAAACAATTTTTTTAAAGTGACAATTGAACCTTGAAAGAAAGGTAGTGCTTTTAAATATGTAATTGAAGCAAGAACATTCTAGGCAGTGGGAACAATATAATAAAGGTATCAACATTCAGGAATTAACGAACTATGGCCCTTGGGCCCAATGCAGCCTGCCGCTTAATTTCTAAGTAAAGTCTACTAGAACCCAACTCCACTACTCAATGTGTGGAGTAGTTGACCACAGAGACCATATGGCCCAGACAACTTAAAATATTTACTGTATGGTAAACATGGTCCTTTATGGAATAGTTAAAGAACTATCCATCAACTAGTTCTTTAATTTATTTCCTGATTCAACAAATAATTTGTTAAGTGCATGCCACGTGCCAGAAAGTGTGTCAGATGTTTAGTGGATGCTGGTGAGCAAAATAGACATCCTCCCTATCGTGGAAGGTGCTTTTCACAGTTTCAATATTTGAGAAGTATGAAGAAAATAGCAAGGTCTTGTGTTTAAAAATATTAAAATACTTAGGAAGATTGAACCTGAGAAGGCCTTTATCAAGATTAAACCTCATCAGGCAAGACCCACCAGATGAGAAAGAGCCAACCATGAGATGTGAATGTCAGAGATAAGATTTATTGGGAACGTGAAGGATATACACAAAGTTCCTAATCAGGAAGGACCTTGGCTTGAAAGAGAAAGTGAAAGGTGGCCAGTGTCGGTGGGGTGTAGTGAGCGAGGTAGAAAGTGTGATGGTTGGGGTTAAAGGCAGACATGGATCAGGTCTTGGTGAGTCTTACAGGCCATGAAAAGGAGGACCCAACTGTAGTTGAAAACCACTTGAGAATTTTGAGAAGAATGAAATAAAGCAATTTTCTTAAAGAAAAAGAGAAACCTGGCAGCTGGATTGAGGGAGGCTTAGATAGGGAGTGCATAAAAAAGAAACTGAAGGATAGTTAAGGCAGCTCATAAAGGTCCCAAGCAAAAAATGATGGTACCCTGATATAGAAACTGTTCTTCTCCGACTTTACTGTGCCTATGTTCTTCTGGGACTCTTGTCAAAATGCAGAAACTAATTCAGTAGATGTGGGATGGAGACATGCTGCAATGCTCCTGGCCCACTGACCACACACTAACAGGGGCCTAGTGGTAAAGACATATCAAGCGAGTTTAAAAAAATATATATTTATTATTCAAATACTTTACCATGACTAGAAGTCTTAAAGTAAGTTTCCAACACAAAATCATGCAAAAGACAAAATCCAACCCAGGAACTTTCAACCACTCTAAGTAAATCAGCACTGAGTGAGAAAACCTTTTGCAGAGCTTCAAATATGAGGCATAATCTGGGACCCTGAGTCTAAGAAAAGAATGAAATTCCAGCCATTTAATGAGGAAGCACCCAGAAGATGATCAATATTATTAGTTTTTCAAACAAGATTTTATTGAGCAAATCAAAATGAAGAAGAGATGGTCTCTGCCTTAACAAAAAGTTATGTGGGCTGGGCGCAGTGGCTCACCTGTAATCCCAGCACTTTGGAAGGCTGAGGTGGGTGGATCACCTGGGGTCAGGAGTTCGAGAACAGCCTGGTTAACATGGTGAAACGCAGTCACTACTAAAAATATACAAAAATTAGCCAGGTGTGGTGGCACACACCTGTAATCCCAGCTACTCGGGAGGCTGAGGCAGGAGAATTGCTTGAACTGGGGAGGCAAAGTTTGCAGTGAGCTAAGATCGTGCCACTGCACTCCAGCCTGGGTGACAGAGCGAGACTCCATTGCAAAAAAAAAAAAAGTACAGTGTATTTGTGAACAGATAGATGTAAAATTTTAATATATTATGAAAGGCATTTCCACAGGGGTATGGTCAGGATATCATGGGCTCACCCAAGGGAGACAGCTACTTATAACTACCTTGTACTTCCTGGAGGTACAAGGAAAAATCTCTAGAATGATATTGAAAGGATGAGTAGGAGGCAGAGGACAAAGGAAGGGAACGATGTTCCAGAGAGAGGAGCCAGTCCAGAGTTTGAGAGAGTGTAATGGGAGACACCTGCCACTTTTTTCTATGTAAGAACTCATAGAATTGACTGTCAGAAGTGTCTTGTCAGACTTCAGACTGAGGTATAGTGTACATAGGGTCATTAATTCGGGTCAATTAAAACCAACAAGAATCTCTTAATCTGCTAGTATGAGCCTGAGCATAATAGAGACTTAAGAGGAGAGATCATATTATTAATAACAATAACTAATATCTGATGGAACTTGCAACACATGAAGACACTTGAGCCCAGAGAACAAATATGACCAGTTCACAATTTGCCGAAGGTCCCCAAGCTCATCTGTGGAAGAAACAGAATTCCAGCCTGGCTTGTCCCACTATAGAGAATGCCTTTGCTGGAACTTGCAGTTTATTTAGAGAGAAAAAAACCAATACACCTGAAACAATTAAAGAGAGGTACGAAATCAACATTACAGTCATAAGCTAGATTGCACTGCAGTTTCAAAATGAAAATTGCTTTATCATTTTTCTTCTGATTATAAAAACAATGCTTCCTCTAGGTAAAACAGTTCAAACCTTATAGTACAGTGTAGTGCAAGAGATGAACATTCCTTATAATCCCATTGCTCTACCCAATGCCAGAAACAGCTACTTATAACTACCTTTGAGCTTAAGCTTATATGTGCACCATCTCACAAAAAGAAATAAGCTTTTAAAAAGTTGGATCATACTATATATAATGTTATGTAATCTATTTTTCCCCCCACACACCATGGAGCTATTTGCAGTTAAAACTGTACTTATATTCTTCCTAAACCCTTACAATGATGCATCTAGTTCTTTGAGATCGATAATTTTTTGGCCACTTGATACCATCTAGCTCCATGTAATTAAAGCACAGTCACCTGAGAGTACTAAAATTGATCATAATGTTATTTTTGTTTTGTTTTGTTTTGTTTTGAGTTGAGTTGAAGTCTTACTCTGTCACCCAGGCTTGAGTACAGTGGCTCAATCATGGCTCACTGCAGACTGGAACTCCTGGGCTCAAGTGATCCTCCCACCTCAACTTCCTGAGTATCTGGGACTACAGGTGCATGACACAATGCCTGGCTGTTTTTTTTATTTGTTTATTTTTAGAGATGGAGTCTTGCCATGTTGCCTGGGTTGGTCTCAATCTCCTGGGCTCAAGTGATTCTCTTGCCTTAGCCTCACAAGTTGTTAGGATTACAGGCATGAGCCACTGTGCCCGGCCATAATGTTATTTTGGCAATCATTTTCTCTTATCATCCTTGCCAATAGGTCATCGTTTAGTCATGTGACAGGTTAGTGCCACTACCTACCTCCTCAGCACATGGCCCATCATTTAACAAATCATTGTATGTGTGTGTGTGTTTGTGTGTATGGCACATATTTGTATCTAAATAAACCTTAACTATATTTAAATACAAGTATGTGCCATATATATATATAATGATTTTATACATAATGATTTCAGATGGCTGGATTTATTGCACATACTTGTATCTAAATAAACCATATGGTTTATTTAGTATGTGCAATAAATCTATCCATTTGAGGTATATGGTGTTTGATCAGCTCTGACAAATGTATATGGTAATGTAAGCACCAGGCCATTCAAAATATAGAACACTTCCATTAGCCCCAAATGTCCCACCTTCCTCTTTGCATTTGATACCCTTCTCCCATCCCCACCTCCAGACAAACATTGATCTATTTTCAGTACCTATAATATTGCCTTTGCGAGAATGCCATATTAACAGCATCGTAAAGCACGCAGTCTCCTATGTCTGGCTTCATTCACTTGGCGTAATGCTTTTGAGCTTTATCCATGTTGTTGTGTGTGTCAGTTGCTTGTTGCTTTTTATTGCTGAGTAGTACTCTGTTGTGTAAATATCTCACACTTTGTTTATCTATTCACCAGCTGATCCACATTTGGAGAGTTTCAATTTTTTGGCTATTATGAATAAAGCTTCAATGAACATTCACATATGGACCTTTGTATGGACACGGTTTACATCTCCCTTATGTAATGTCTAGGAGTGGAATTGCTGGGCTTAACATCATATGTTTAACTTTATAGGAAATTGCCGAAGTGTCTTCCAATGTGGCTGCAGATTTTGCCTGCCAGATTCTCAGTGACACTTGGTAACATCAGTCTTTGATTTTAGCCATTCTAGTGAGGTTTAGTGTACTGCCTTGTGACCTTACTTTGCAGTTCCCTGATGACTCATGATATGGAGCATGTATGTTTTCATGTGCATATTGGCCTATCACATGTCTTCCTCTTTGGAAAAATAAGTCCTTTCTGTATTTTTAAAAATGAGTTGTTTGTAAGTTTTCTTTATGTATACCTGATACATATCCTTTATTGGGTACACACATCTTTGATATTTTCCTATAACTTTTGGATGGTAGCTTATATTTTTCTTTTTCCTGCTCCATCCAGTGGAGGTTTGGTGGAGAAGAGCTGATGAGTAGATGTGGCCTCCCTTGAGTCTAGGGCCCGGGGATCCTGACTGTCCTGCTGGCCCACATCTGACCTTTAAGATTGTTAAAATTCCAGGGTTTTTTCTTCTTACCCACTTTAATAACTACCACCTGCTTTTGATCCATGCTCTGCCATAGAGCAGAAACACTTCTTGCATCCTGTCTCTCCTTGGAGTGGTTTTGTACCATTTGAAATTCAGTTCAAAGGGTGGTTTTGCAATTGCAAGTTTCTTATAGGCTAACTTTATATATATGTATATATGTATGGTTATACATATATATATGGTTGTATATATATGAATATAATACATGGTTATATATATATAAACATGTATGTTATATATATATATATATAACCATATATGTTTATATATATATATATATATATATATATATCTGGCTTTACTGTTGTTGTTGTTCAAAAATCCTCTCGCTCCTTTCTATATCTTAAGCAGAAGTGGAACTGCCTGCCTCCATCCTTGCTCTTAATATGACAAAAGTCTCCACTGATGGCATTATTGGAGTTGGTCAGTCCTTTTATCCTGTGTGAGCCCACTGAGACCATTGTGGCCTGGGCTTTAAGGTAGTAGAAGCTAGAGCTTGAGCATTTCCATTGCCTTCATTATGACTGATCTCTTGCCAGTGCAGAAGGTATTTCTGCTGGTTTTCATTGCCTTTCTCTCCAGCACCACTGGGAAGTATCTTTTCCCCATCCTTGCTAAAGGTTTTTCAAAAGCCCCTGTATATGATAGCTCTCCTTTCCATTTCACTCTTCTTTTAGTTTCTTACAGCTCTGTCCTCTGGACACTTAACACACATCCTTCTAGGACTTGTTTTTAAGAAAGTATGTCTTTCACCAAAGGCTCAATTCCTTGTGCAAAGGTCCTAACTGAGATGGATACTCTCAATTCTCTCCATCTCAGACAGCGATAATCACTCCTTCCTATACACATGCCTGAGATGTTCAAGAGTGGTCCTAGCCTCTTCCTCAGTGGGTGTATTAACTAGGTTCTGACTGCCAACTCCTGTGACTCATACCCTCCAAGGCCCAGGTTCATTGGCTCTGATATGCTGGGATTCCCAAAATGACCTCTCAAGTTATACCTTACTTCAGGAATCCTGGCTACCAATATTAATATTCTACCCTCAGATGTTCACACTCTCCTTCCAAGGTGCTGTGTTTGTATCTAAACATGTTGTTCCTGCATTTAGCTGAAGGTTAAGGCTTGCAATGGATTATCTGATATCAGTGCTGGCCGAATGTCCAAATCAAGCTGATTCAAGATAGTGAGTTCCCTTTCACCTTACCCCTATTTAAGGCTGTGATCCTTTGAAACATACTCTGAGCCCATTTGCTTTCCAATAGAAGTAAACAAAGAAAAAAAACCCTAGTAGATGACTTATTGTTTTAGAAAAGCCCATGCACTGACATAATGACAGACCCACTATGGCCATCATCATTGAGGCTGGGGCCATCTGCACTCAGATCATGGCAGTCACTGGTTGATGAGAACATAGCTCTTATGGGATTTCAGATGAGGTCTGATAGACATGGCCATAAAATCTTCACCTTTTGCCTTCCAATACTACCTTGAGACAAGCTTACCAACTGAGCTGTAAAATTGTGACAGTGTAGCTTATTGATCCATTGTCTTGTTGGATATTATTAAGCATGAGATTTGGGGTTATTTCCTTCATTCCTTCCTTTTTTCCTTCCTTCCTCTTTCTTCCTTCTCTCCCTCTCTTTCTCCCTCTCTCCCCTCCTCCCTCCTTCTCTCCTTCCTTCCTTCTCTCCTTCCTTCCCTCCTTCTCTCCTTCCTTCCCTCCTTCTTTGCTTCCTTCCTTCCTTCCCTCCTTCCTTCCTTTCTTCCTGTGTCCCTCCCTCCCTCCTTCCTTCCTTCTCTCCTTCCTTTCTCCCTCCCTCCTTCGTTCCTTCCTTCTCTCCTTCCTTCCTTCCTTCTCTCCTTCCTTCCCTCTCTCCTTCCTTCTTTCCTTTCTCCCTCCCTACTTCCCTCCTTCCCTCCCTCCCTCCTTCCTTCCCTTGCTCCCTCCCTCCCTTTCTCCCTCTCTCCCTTCTTCACTTTCTCCCTCCTTCTCTCCCTCCTGCCTTCTCTCCTTCCTTCCTTCTCTTGCTTCCTCCCTTTCCCTCCTTCCCTCCCTCCATCCTTCTCTCCTTCCTTCCTTCCTTCCTTCCTCCCTTCCTTCTTTCCTTCCCTGCATCCCTCCATCCCTCCTTCCTTCCTCCCTTCCTCTCTCCTTCCCTTCGCAGGAATTTACAATGCTCTCTATATGAAATTGGTTATATTTTGTCTCTGGGCTGTAAAACAGTAAGATTGCCACCCGTTTCTATTCTTCCTCCCCATGAAAAGAGAATGACACTTTAAGACACCTTTATAACTAGTCTACAGAACACAAAGCCCAATCTTCCAAAGGATGCCTGTCCCATTTAGGGTTAATAACCCTGCATTTATTAAGGACAGGGCCACAGAGTCCCAAATGCCCACATCTTACAACTCAGAAACACTAACTTGAAGAACATCCTGGTTGACTTGGGAAATATATTTTCCTGAGACCAGTGGTTTGTGAAATATATTCTCCAATTGGCTGATCTCTTGCACAGTTGTTTGTCATAATCAGATTTTGAGGCCATATATCTCCTTTCAAGTGATGATTGTGCTATAACCTCTGGCTCCATCCACATTTCTGGTTTGGGTAGAGCAGATCTCAGCAATGAATGAAAACCGTAGCTGTCTTATCAAATAGCAGCAGTACTTGTTTTGTTTAATAGTGCTGGAAATTAGTTTTTCAGGCACTGATCTTGACAGGTCAGCTGTCAAAAGTGGGTGTGTGCGGCCATAAATTCATCGATCCTGTAAACAAAATTCTGTCTGCAAAATACAAGGGGAAGTCAGAGTAGACTCACTCATGTACAAATGAAATGGTCTGGAGCTGTATGACTAAGTGTTGGGACTTCTTTGGATGAAAGCTTTTTCTGGCTTCCCACTTATCAAGCCCATCGGCCTCGTTTGGCTTTTATTGACTGAAACATTTTCCTGAGCATTCAGAGTGGCGAGCGCCAGACCCCCTCAGGATGGGGGAGGGATGCATGTCTCTCCTAATCTTGGGTGACTACAAGGCTGGTGATCCATTTAAAGCCTTCATTTACATAAAAAAAATTCCACTGGATTATTTCTTGTGAACCGTGCTTTTCTATGTTCTGGCCTTATATTTTGGATTGCAGACGGATGGCCTTGACCAGTAATGATGGAGGTTTACCACTCTTGTCTTAAGATTTGGGCAAGATCACACAGTTTTGTGGAAATGGGGAGATTCACTCAGCCTGGGGCACTTGGCTTCTGTCTGATGTGAGGGAATAATAAAGTTTCCTACCCAATATGAAGGATCCTGAATCCTGGAACATAGTTGAACTTTGATGTGTTTGAAAGGCAGAATTTTGATTTTTTGCTTTGAAGTATTTTTTTTCTTGCTTTATCAGGGTACAGGATGCCTAAAGGCCAGGGAGACAGAAGTCTGTATTAAAGCAAAACAAAACAAAAATACTTTTAATTCCTAACCACTTTTAGATAAAGAGAGAAGCATGATAATAGGCTTGGAAGAATTTTTTTTCCTTCATGAAATTCCATTTTAATTTACATGGCCTTCTCGTATTAAGGTTGTCTGAATATTAACTAAAATGATTTGAAGCTGCTCCTCTTTCTCAGCAGAGAAAGATTACTTGGATTGCTTATCTTCATGGATCTGGGCCTCAGCTGTGGCCACTTCCTATCTCCCAACTCAACAGTTTACAGAGCTCCCACCATCTTGGAGAGATCCTAGAATATGAGATGCTGTGCTGGCCAAACTAGCCATATGCCCCCTCTAGGAGATAAAGCACCCCTAGACCAAAATTCCTTACAGCCAAAGCACTGATTTATTGGGTTCTGACTCTCAGATTGGCCTTGACATACTGACAGGTAATTTGACTCCAATTGCTCCCCTATCATGCAGTTTTGAGTCGTACAAGTGCATGTGATAGGATATTGCTTAATCATCTATGCTAGTTATTTTTATCAAAAGCTTATTTTACTTCCTATTAGTGAAAATCCTGTTAAAATCAGGAAGAGGATAAAGAAGGTAATAATGATTACTTATAATTCCATCACCTATATGTAACACATATATCCACGTATCACATTTTAACGTGTCTTCTCCCGTTTTTACCACTGCTTTTAAAAAAACATAATTGAGGTCATATTGTATACAGTTTTATATCCTGGTTCTTTACTTTGTGATTCTTAATTAAGCTATTTTATAATAGACTGTTTCAAAGTTATTTTCTTCTTTGAACAGCCCCTCAATTTGTAGGCAAGGAAGATTTTTATTTCCCATTTCATAGATAAGAAAATAGAATCAGCTGGGCACAGTGGCTCACGCCTGTAATCTCAACACATTTTTCTGTATTTTTTTGTATACAAAAATATTTGTTGACTCTTTCTATGTTTCAAGCATTGTGCTGTCAAGTGCTATCTGAGGTCACTCAGGTAAGTGGTGACAACAATTAGAACATAGGTCTACTGACTCATGAACATCTGCTAAGTTCACACCTCCAAGTTCCCATCTTCTTCTCCAGTTACAGAAGTTAATGTTGGAGAGGAGAGCCTGGAATTCGAGGCAAGGTTGGAGATCCTGAGATGGGAATGAGCAAGGCCAGGTCTAGCCCAAGAGCCTGAGGCTCTAGACAGCTTATGAAGACAGAGTTTTGACCCCAGAGAACATGGCAAGAAACCCCAATGCCACAGCTGACTCACTGACTTATGCCAAGAGTAGAAGGAACTGGAGGTCCTTCTATTTCATTTCTATTGCAGATTTGCATAAATCATGGATATTGGGCTGAACATTCATTAGTTGTGATAAATGTGTCATTCTAATGTTATGTCTTAATGGGAAAAACTGGCTTATGGATCTATTGACATTCTGTGTACAATATCTACAACTTTTCTGTAAATCTAAAACTATTCTAAAGTGAAATCTTATTTCAACAAACAAGTAAGAGTTTACCAGACCCAGAAGAGGAGAAAGGGCATTCCAGGCAGAGAAAAACTAGATACAAATATCAGGAGGGAATGTGGTGTGCCTGAGAAAGAAGGAGGGATTTTGGGGATTTTAGTGTACTGTAACTACATAAACTAAAGTGAGGTTGAGAGTCAGGATTGGCTCTGGATGAGGAAGGCTTTTCTTTTAGGCCAAGCTGAAAAGTCTTAGGATTTATTCTGTAAGAAAAAGGAATTCATTAGAATATTTTAATTAATATAGTTCATATTTGAGTTTATTTGTTGTAAGGGTACCCACTTGCCTGTTGAAGGATGTGCTATAAGAGAGGCTGAGAGCAGCGAAACCAATGAGAAAGCTGTTGCAAAGGTCTAGGGGGACTGAGGTGGTGCATCCTGGAGCCAAGCAGTGAGCCAGAAGCAGAGAATGATGTTCAGGGCTTCATCCCAACTGTTTCTTCCTGCCTCCATCCTCCATTCTAATTTCTGATTATAATCCCAGTAGAAAGACAGGTAAAGCCTTGTTGATCAAGATGCACAGAGCTCCATTCCAAACACTCATCCAAGCCAAGACAGTAGAGAATTAAGATGCCCCTTCACCGTACCAGGAAGGTTTGGCAGCAGATGTTACGAATCTGGGTCCTGGTGCAGGATAAGAGTATTGAGTGCCTGGAATGGTCACATCATCATTAGGACAAGATGTCTTCTGTTATGACTCTGTGAGCCATTGGGATGGTCAAGAAGACCTCTATAACTCCACCTACACCCAGGAGAAGTAGCAGGACACACATCAGGGCTAAGCAGCTCCAGCACCTGGGCTAAGCAGTTATGGGAGTGCAGATGCAGGCACCCCAAATAAATATCCACTCCTGCCCCAGTGAGTCCATAGTAGAACATCCAAAGAATAGAGGCAATCAACCCCTTGACCCCATTTGTCTGAATTTGTCCTCTTCCCTCTGACAAGCATTTTAATCCAGCTGTAGGAACCAATTCTGTATCTTAATGCAATTTCTTCCTTTCCTTTCCTTTTTCCTTTTTCCTTTCCCTTCCCTTCCCTTCTCTCTCTCTCTTTCTTTCTTTCTCTTTCTTTCTCCCTCCCTCCCTACCTCCCTTTCTTTATCCCTTCCTCCCTCCCTTTCTTCCTCCCTCCCTCCCTCCCTTCCTTCCTTCCTTCTTCTTCTTTTTTTTTTTTTTGTCAGGGTCTCACTCTGTTGCCCAGGCTGGAGTGCAGTGGCACAATTGTGGCTCCCTGCAGTCTTGACCTCCTGGTCTCAATTGATCCTCCTACCTCAGCCTCCCAAATAGCTGGGACTACAGGAGTATGCCACCACACTGGCTAATTTATTTTTATTTTTTATAGAGGCAGTATTTCACCACATTGCCCAGGCTGGTTTTGAACTCCTGGACTCAAGCGATCCACCCACCTTGGCCTCCCGAAATGCTGGGATTGCAGGCATAAGCCACAGCTCTCAGCCTATTTTTTAAGGTCCAATGGAGAAATAGCCATGATTTTTGCTTTTTTTTTTTTTAACTGTATCATTACCCAAAGTGTGGTATTTTGGTATCTTCGAGGTCTTTAAGCAGAATTTTGGGTAGATCTTCACTTGTTCTTTATCTCAATGCCCCCAAATTAATTAGTGGTGGTGGCGGTGGGTGGTTCTTTGGGGTACATGGCCATGTTTTTTACTAATTTATTTATTCATCACACCAAGGCACCCTATTATTCAGGATGGAGTGGGTCTTGGTGGGTATCATGTCCAAGGTGACAACAGGAAATTCCAGGTTTCTTTAAAACTGACTCTAGAACTCCATCTCTTATTCTGATGGTTTTACATCTCAGAGTTGTTGTCTCTTCCAGGAGGAATGACTCCTCAGGTTCTATGGCCTTATAGTCAGGGCTTAGTGTGCAGACCCTGCTGCAGATGTCAGGACCATGGGAAATGCTGACAGAGTAGAAGCATTCTTTACTTTAGGGCCCCCAGTAGCACTTTTCCACTGGAGTTCTTCTTCTCTTCAGGTTAACTAGGGGGTCTTATGGATTTTCCCTGACAACAGTATATACTGCCTGTGGCAGTTTGACCCTTTAGCCCCCTGCTATTTAAATTGTGGTCCATGGATTAGCAGCAGCAGCAGCAGCATCACCTGGGAGCTTGTTAGACATGAATAATCTCAGGCCCCAGAATCAGAAAGTGCATACAAAATCCCTGGGTGATTTGTGTGGATATCATAGTTTGAGCATCATGGCTTTAATCTACAGCAGTGGTTCACAATTCTGGCTGTGCATTAGAATCACCTGGGGAGCTAAAATATCCATCTCTAGTCCACTACAGACCAATTAAATAAGAGGCTCTGGGGGTAAGGCCCAACTTTCAGTACACTTCATTATAAAGCCCCCTTAAAAGATACTAATATGCAGCCAAGTTGGAGGCCCAGTGACCTAGAAGAGCAGGGGTTCTCGACATTGGCTGCAGTATCAGGAGCACTCAGGAGGCATTAACACTTCCTATGCTCAGGCCCTGAGATCCTGATTTAGTTGACTTGAGATGGGGCTGGGTATCTGCATTTTGTTATGTCTTCCCCATTAATAGTCGAGAATCGTTTCCCAGACAAAAGTTTTGTCGTTGTATAGACCCTGCAAGGATGCAGGGAGGGGAAGCAGTCTCATGAACAACTGTGTCTCCTCATTGTTTCTGAGCCAAGGTAGGTTCTCCTTGACCACCTTAGGGTGACTATCAGAGATGCCTCTGGCTATTGGATATACTCTGCAGGCTTAAGAGAATGTAGCAGATTCAGAGCACATTTACTCTGCCATTAGCCTCTACCTGCCTGTCAAGGAAAATGAGGGAGCTGGCACCACAGTGAAAACAGGCAGGAAGCTCTTGACCCTGCTTGCCATAGGCACCGGGGTGCAAGACAAGCTGTACACTTGAGTGTTTGCTACTTGCTTTACTGCTGAGCTTCATCCTACCCATGGAGGGAGCAATGGCTGAACTCAAGGGCCTTGTGGCCTGGGCAAGTCAAAGGAGTAATTAAAGAAAGAGGGTATTTTGCAGGCATCACAGTGACATGGCCTCTGTGGGTGAACAGAATAAAACTGGACATAAACATTTGTTCTAGAGACAAGTTCTCACCAGTTGGTTTCATTTTAGGGCTGTGCTGAGCTCTATAGAGATCCAGGCGAGCTGAAGGAGGACATGTAACTCTGTCTACCATATATCTATTCTCTTTAGGGTTTTAAAATGGCTCTGGGTCTCTGGGAACTCCAGGGGACTACTGTTCACCTACCTGCCTAATTCAGGATCCCAGTGTAGGAGCCGAGGTCCTATGGTGTGCACGGGTGCCAGTTCCATCCCTCACAATCTTTATTTTTCCTTCACAGTTGGCGACATGGGACTCAGAGAAGGGCTTGAATGGCAGCTTGCAAGAGAGGCCCATGGGCAGCCGCCTCCAAGGATTGACTCTTAAAGTGGTGACTGTCTTGGTAGGATCATGGGGACATTCTGGGAGCGAGCTACACCATCCAGGCTGTTGAATCAGAGGCTGCTTTCTGTTTAATGCTGGGTTTGGGGAGAAGAGAATCTTGAGGAGTATTGTGAGCTTTCATAAGGCCTTTCATTCAAATAATTGTATGAATAATGAAAGGAAGAGTGAGATTGAAGTTTCTGCCCCAGGACCTCTGTGCCTTCCAAAGGAAGTCCCTGAGCTGCTCTAGAAAAGGACTTCTCATTCACAGCTTCCTCTGAGGACCAGAGGGGGCCAAGCTGCTCCATTTGTTCTTGGATGTAAAATGGATCTTGACCCACTACTGGTCCTTAGGAGAGTTGTTCTGGTAGCCAGAACCCCAAGATAGATGCTGGAGGAGGACATTCTCTTAGCACCCAACACCAGTGATGGGCTCATGTGACAGTGACACAAGTTCAGAATGAAGACCATTCGGTAGTTGCAACTTTTCTGCATGGATGTCCTGGAATCATAGACTTTTGCATTTGTAAGAGACTTTAAAAGCATCTTCCTTTCAATTGCTTTTTTCACATTTTTATAAAAACTGCAGGAGACATTATAGACTTGCCTCTTATTGGCTGAGTCACACGTGCCCAAACGTCCCCTCTCTCCCAGCAGACACTAGCATTCCCTTGGCTTAGAAACCTTTGGCAACAGTATTTCTGCATTCTCTGTTTGCACACCACAGATAAGCTTTACACCCTATTTCCCAACACAACTAAATTAATGAGCTATACTCCCTGGAGCTGTTTGCCAAAGGCCCCTTGTTCAGTTTCACACAAGAAGGAAGGGGAATGGTAGGGAGTGCCAAGACATTTTTCAGATGACCACCTCGCTCACATGTGGCATAGCACAACATGTGCAGGTGTGAGCATGGCATGGCTTTGAACTAGGAACTCTGGGTTTGAATTCTGTCCTACCCTTTGGCTTCTGGTCTGGCCTTGGTCAGTTAATCCATATCCATATCCACTTTCTAGTATAGCCTGTAGATATAATGCTTTTTCTCTCAACCTAATGTCACAGAGCTTTATCGCCACTTACTATCCTGGATGAGAAGTTGCATGTTTCTTATGTGGGCCTCATATAATTTTGGCATATTCTAAGGATACAGTCCTAGCTCTGCATGGATGTTACAAACGGAGGAAGGAAAACAAACCATGTTATTCAGGGAACTAGGGGTTGGGGCAGAGCCTGGGATGACACGGGACAAATGAATCTCCACTCCTCTGTATGGACCTACTGATTGGAGTGATCATCCTGTGCACTGTTCCTTGAGTGTCCATAAACTGCTTTTAGAAAAAGGCAGAGAAGTTGAGCCTGAAGTCCTAAATTGGGGAACTGCAAATGTTCTAATCAGATCTTTCTCTCTAACATTACACTGGAAATATGTGTTGATGAACCTGTTATTTAATTGGAGAACCTTCATTCTGTTGTCCTCAGGAAGAGCCTTTCGTGATGGTGGCTGAGAACATCCTAGGACAGCCCAAGCGCTACAAAGGGTTCTCCATAGATGTCCTGGATGCACTGGCCAAGGCTCTGGGCTTTAAATATGAGATTTACCAAGCCCCTGATGGCAGGTACGGTCACCAGCTCCATAACACCTCCTGGAACGGGATGATCGGGGAGCTCATCAGCAAGGTAGGTCCCCATAGCAGATCCAGGGGGAGGGGCACCCTAGTCTTCCTCTGGGGTAATATCTAAACTTGACCAATTGCACAGTGGAAACCTTGGGACCAGCTAAACAGACCACAGTTACCATTCTCCCCACACAAAGGCTCTTTTGTCTTCAAATCCCCTGCTACATCCATTTCTGCTCTTGTATCTCCTCGTCTCTGACACTCTATGTTACCTCCCTGCCCATTGCTGTCATTCCTTTGAAGTCTATCATCCACTGTGCCTACTCTGTAGCACACCCTTCAAGGAACCTACCCTACGTTTAGGGTGAAGCAGAAACCTAGTTCCCACCAGGGGTACTGATGAGTGCTCATTCTCCTATCCCTTATAGACCACAGGTTAGATATTCATACATATGTGTGTATGTCTACATTGCTATGTGTTGATGGTGTGGCATCCCCCAGGTCCTCATACTTATTTAAATTGTACTCTTCTTCCCTCCCGTAGAAACTGCATCTTCATTGAAACTCGTGGCATGAGGCCAACTTACCATGTCCCCATTCTTGTCATCTCATGACACTGGGTCATTTCCCCATGATTATTTATCATGGTGGCATCTGACTCAAATCCTCCATCTCCATTATTTCTCCTGCCACCATTCTGACAATTTCTGACATCCCTGTGGACAACCCTGGACTCCCAATACTTTGACCTCCTCGCCTCCAGGGACCTTTGCTGTACTCCACTCCAGTGTTCACCCCCATGCATCTTGTTAGCATCTTACATGTCACCATCACTAGCCCACTGCATGACCACAACAAGTTGTCCTTCTGACTCTTTTGAACTTTTACTCTCACAGCACAGGCCCTTTGCTTTTTAAATCTGTAAAGGCAGACACTAGGCTTGTCATTCGTCCGATTTCTATTAATCTTTTTCAGAAACACCTTTACTGTGATAAATTCACATACTATAAAATTTATCCATTTTAGATATACAATTCAATGATTTTTAGTAAAGATACCGGGTTGTGCAACCTTCATTATAATCTGGTTTTAGAATACTTCCGTCACGCCATTGATATCTTTCATACCTACTTATAGTTAATGCCATTCCCACCCCCAGCCCTAGGCAACCATTAATCTACTTTCTATCTTATATAGAGTTGCTTCAGTGAACATTTTGTGTAAATGGAGTCACACAAGATGTGGTCTTTTGTGTCTGGTTCTTTCCACGTAGTGTGTGTATTTGAGGCCCATCCTTCTCTGCAGCTTCTGTGCCTTTCTGATACTGCGTCCTCTATGGGTGGCCAGACAAACCCCTCCTCCCTTCATCCCTTGTGACTCCCTCTGTTCTTAATTTTTTTGTTGCATCCTAAGCCTGAATGGATTCTATTATCTATCCTCTTCACTCTGAAATCCAGGTTGCTACACTAAATTAGAGAAGGAAATTGTGAATCTGTCCAGATTGCTTTAGAAACCCTGTGTGGTCTCCAAAATCAGCTGGGCCCTTCAGTACTGCCAGAATCTTTTAACTTGTCCTTTGTTGGGCTCCTTGGCTATGTCTCTCAGAGACCGTTTAAAAAGTTTACCTTTCTTCTTGAGCTACCTAAGAATCTTCTATCCTTCCCAACTAAAAAAAAAAAAATGATTGTACTTCTATATTGGGGAAATAAACTGAGATTTTGGGGCATAAAATTGTACCTCTAATTCCTATGAAATTTACATCTGCAGGCACCTGCCATCTCCCACAGAAGGGAGTGTCCCCTGTCCCCTGTCAGTCTGTCCCACTGTCACAGGACAACCCCTCCACCTGTGTCATGAGTTGATTCCTTTGTGCCTCCTTTGAACCTTGCTTCATAAATTAGTTTCCCTTCATTTTGTCTTGTAAGCCTATCCTGCTCCATTAAATCTCTTTTTAAGCCCTTAAATATGCTCCAAACTTTCCTAATCCTAAAAATTGTCCCTGGATGCTAGAGTTTTTAGAAGAGAGGCAAGAACCAGAGATGCCAGTGTGACAAGTGTAAGAGGAGAGTGTTGATAGGGTCACTTCCTATTTGCTGCCTTTACTCAAGGTATAGTATTAGATTTCTGTTTAGGACATGAGTATATCTGTCCCTAGCCTACATATTAAACCTTGAAAAAATCCTTCCACGTGTGTTTCCTCAGTTTGAGCTTGGAGGTTGAATCAGTTGTCACTATTGGTCATTCTAAAAGAAACTAGTTCTGCTGATGCCTCCCACTTTGAGGGTCAAGAGGCCAGATCATTATGATGACTGCCTTTCAGTGCTCTTGTGACTAAAGGAGGACCCTAAGCCCCATTGTCACCTGGCATCCACCCATCCGGACATGAAACCCGTAATCGCCCCAAACTTGGCAGTTTTCTCCTCACAGTCTGGATCCATCTTAATGGGGTTTCTGTCTGTTTTTAAAATGAAGCCCATTTTGGAAAGCAAACATCTTGGGAGGTAATTTTAAGGTCATAGTAGGGCACATCCAGAGAGATTCTTCACACCATGGCTTTACCATGGAAGAATAAACCTGTGGGTTTGCAAGCCATGAATTAAGGGTGGTGGAAGATAGAAATAAATATATGACCCCTTTATTCTTTCAGTATTTTACTCTCTGGCATGAAGTCTACATATGAAACACTCACTGGCTAATATGTTAATGAGGTCTAACATAGTTGTAGAACTCACCATATAACTTCTGAAGTGTTTTAGAAAAGAGAAAGATCAATGTGGGATAATAGAGTCTGAGAGGTGTGATGAAGAAATGGAGTGTGCCTCTGGTCTTAACATGTAGGGAGGATGCACACAGGCCTAGAAGATAGAAGGGCCTTCTTGGTGGAGGGTAGAGGGAAACATAGGGAAAATAAAAAGAAGATAGCTAAAGTTTGGTAGGAAAACAACAAAGTGAAGATAAACTATAATTCGTAGAGAAATGAAGATACTTTACTCGGCTCTTTTCTGTAGAAGCAGTTTCCTGAAGTTTTTAGAAGAGAGAGACTTGTAAGGTGAAGGAAATAGTAACAGACAACTTAGTGTTGGATTTTCCTTATAATATTCAGACTCTCAGGGTGCCAGCTCTCAAATCCATTCCTCTGAACAGAGCAACTCAAAGGACAGAGGGTGGACCTTGACCCAGGGCAGAACCCAGCAGTAAGCTGAGGACTGCCGTCTAAATGAGATGGCTTTGCCTTTCAGAGAGCAGACTTGGCCATCTCTGCCATCACCATCACCCCAGAGAGGGAGAGCGTTGTGGACTTCAGCAAGCGGTACATGGACTATTCAGTGGGGATTCTAATTAAGAAGCCCGAGGAGAAAATCAGCATCTTCTCCCTCTTTGCTCCATTTGATTTCGCTGTGTGGGCCTGCATTGCAGCAGCCATCCCTGTGGTTGGTGTGCTGATATTTGTGTTGAACAGGATACAGGCTGTGAGGGCTCAGAGTGCTGCCCAGCCCAGGCCGTCAGCTTCTGCCACTCTGCACAGCGCCATCTGGATTGTCTATGGAGCCTTCGTACAGCAAGGTACCTTTCTGGTTTCCTGATCATTGAATAGCTCTAGGGGCCTGGAAGAACTTATCCATTGGCAAAGTTCTCAGGTGCATTTTACCAAAGTCATTCCAAATGCAATTTTACTTAATCTCTAGGACAGTACAAATGTCATGCTGCACCCAATTTCTCTGAATAATATCAGAGAGAAATTAAATGAAACAACAATAAGGAGCTCAACTTCAATTCCTGATTCTCCACTTTAGATAAAATTAACTTTGGAGTCCTGCTTTGCACTTTTCTCTCCTCCTACATTAAAGTGATTGCTATGCACATGAGGTTGTCAATGAAACTGTGAATCTTGCTTAAATTTGATGACTTAATGGGGAAAAAAAATCCCAATTGTATTGCAATCATTTAAGCAGTACTTCAGCCATTCTTGAGGTACAAATTCTCCTACCTCTGAGGGGTCTGGATGGTACTTCTATCCACTAGTGAGTTATAGGATTGTGCCATTTTGACTGGAGCAACAAATTGCAAAGTTTCTAATGTGAGTCTTCATCCTGTTTGCACCATGGCAAATGCTTTGTGAGGTTATGTAAGGAGAATAAGCAGTGAGAAGCTCTCTTCTCCTAACACTTTAGAGACCAAGGAGAAATAATTGGCCTCAAAGAGGCTAAACTTCTAACTAAAAGTCTCATGCCCTGATTTCTGAGAATTCTGGGGGAAGAAAAGCCATCTAATGAGGGCTGAATACTAATAAAAGTGATATGGGACATCTCATTTCTCAGGTTTAAAAGAAAGCCAGGGATCCCTCCATGTAGTAGGAGTTATTTCTATATTTACAGAATTCCCGAGTCTGCTATATATGAATTTGAAATTGGAAAGGGATCTTACATAAGGCTGCAGCCCTAGAAGTTCTTACCACTGTGAGGTAGAATCTTCTAACTGAAAGATTTTGATATTCAGACCCCAACCCTTGGTGTTTTGACAACCTTCGCACCACTAGAAGCCCAGTCCTAACTTTTTCATATTTTGTGGTCCTCTGCCCTTGTCCAAGATCCATGGTTTTAGGATCCTATCCCAGAATTGGCACAGATGCCCAGACCCAGCTGACAGTCACCTCCCTGGTTCCAGCCCATCACGAGTGATGGCCTGTGTGCCTGGCTGCAGGGCAGAACACCTCCCTGGGGATAGGAGGGAGAGCAGAAGCCACTGGCCAATCCACTTTGTCTGCCTCCCGCAGGTGGCGAATCTTCCGTGAACTCCATGGCCATGCGCATCGTGATGGGCAGCTGGTGGCTCTTCACGCTCATTGTGTGCTCCTCCTACACAGCCAACCTTGCTGCCTTCCTCACAGTGTCCAGGATGGACAACCCCATAAGGTAAGCCTATTCCTCCTTGATCTGGAGCCAGCAGCTCAGAGAGGCTTTAAAGAGGATGTAAACCTTTCCAGGGCAGTGTGGTATGATGGAGAGAGCCCTGATCTGCAAACTGATGGTCTCCTGGAATCTTTAGTGCATGGAGAAGAGCTTCACTCCTGTTGTATTTTATCTCAGGCACAATTACATAAATGTATAAATTCATTAAATAATATTTCCTGAAAATTTAATGCTGGCTACAAAGCTAAGAAATCAATTAACAAATTACATTTTCTCAGACATTTAAACATTGATTACAAACTTATTTAATCAAAATTTTATAAATATTTAGTTAAAATTAATTTAAACCAGAAGTCTAATATATGCTTTTTTCAATCTTCGAACACCTTAAAATAATTTTTTTCAAAAATGCCAATTGCCACAATAAGTAGAAAACATATTTCATGCACATTTATATGATTATAAAATTATTGAAACCAAGACTAAAAATGTGTCTTCATGTTTACAAAATGTTAAGATTATGGCATAAAAGAATGAGCTCAATATAGCGAAATAACTCTTGGAAGTGACTGTATTTTATGATCAGATTCCCAAAAATAGTGTAAATTACAAAAAAAAGAACTTGGACAGAGTGAATTTGGTTGGATGTGTGGTTGTTGAAGTGGTCATAGGCATGGATCTGTTGTACACTTCATTGGGTACAATATTGGCTTCAATATTGCCTCTAACTTGATCGCTGATTATGGTTTTTTGACTCACTGCCTTTAGTAACATCCCTTTAATTCATCACACTCACTGTCATCATATTGGTTCTTTTGATCCATAGCTCTTAATCAAGTCGTCCATACTCAACCAGCCTCTATGGGTCTCAACTAGCTATTGAAAAGAGTTTAAACTCCTTGCCTAGGATTCAAGATTCAGTATGATATTGTCTAATATCTTTATTAAATTGACATTTTTATTGAGATAATTATAGATTCATATGTAGTTGTAAGAAATAATGCAGAGAGGTCTCCTGGGATCCTTTACCCACTTTTCTCAATGGTAACATTTTGCAAAAGTCTAATATTATATCAAAACCAGGGTATTGACACTGATACAGTTGACTGATTTTATTCACTGTTCCCCTCTTGTACTCATCTCTCTGTGTGTCTGTGTATATGTATGTGTGCATTCGGGTCTATACTATTTTATCACTTATAAACTTGTGTATCTGCACCACAGTAAAAATACTGAACAGATCTATCACCACAAGGATCCTTTGTGTTGTCCTTTTATAACCACCCAAATATTTTTCACATTTCTTCCCCTGACACTCTGTCCCCAACTCTGGCAACCATTAATTGTACTCCATCTCTAAAATTTTGTCATTTCAGTATGTGATATAAATGGAATAATGCCTTTTGGCTTTGGTTTTTTTACTCAACATAATTCCTTAGAGATTCGTCCACGTTTTCATGTGTATTAGTAGTTCACTGCTTTGATTATATCACATATACCACATATGAGTAATATCACATATACCACAGTTTGTCTAACTATTCCCCCATTGGAGGACATCTGGGTTGCTTCCAATTCTTGGCAATTATGAAAAAAGCTGCCATGAACATTTGCGTGCAGGTTTTTGCATGAACATGAGTTTTCATTTACATGTGATAAACACCCAAGAGTGCAATTGCTGGATCATATGGCAAGTTCATGTTGGGTATTGTAAGAAAGTATCAAACTGCTTTCCAGCGTGTCTGTATCATTTTATATTTCTGCCAGTGATGTAAGAATAATCCAGTTTCTCTGCATCTTTCCTGACATTTGGTGTTGCCATTATTTTTCATTTTACCATTCTGATAGGTGTGGAGTCATACTTCATTGTGGTTTTATTTTGCAATTCCTGAATGACTAATGATGTTGCACACCTTTTTTTGTGCTTATTTGCTATGTATATATCCCCTTCAATAAAATATCTGTTTTTATCTTTTCTAAATGGATTGCTTATTACTTTTGAGTTTTGAAAGTTCTTCATATATTTTAGACACTAGTTCTTTGTCAGATATGCGGTCAGCAAATATTTGCTGCCACTCTATAGCTTGTCTTTTCAAACTCTTGTCTTTTCACCATGAAAAGGTTTTAATTTTGATGAGGTTCAATTTAGAGAATTATTTATTTCACGAATCACGCTTTTGATGTCAAGTCTTTTCCTAGCCTGAGACCCCGAAGATTTTCTACTTTTATTTTTTACTGAAAACGTTTGCATTTTACAATTCAGTCCACAATCAATTTTGAGATAATTTTATAAAGTTTGAGGTTTAGGTTGAGAGTTTTGGGGTTTTTTTTTCTCTTCTTTTCTTTTCTTTCTTTCTTTCTTTTTTTTTTTTGTCTGTTTGTTTTGGTCTATGGATGCCCAATAGCTTTAATACTATTTGTTGAAAAGGCTATCCGTCCTCCATGGAATTGCTTTTGTATTTTGTGAGAAAACAGTTGGACATATTTGTATGTATCTAAATTGTCTATTCTGTTCCATTGTTATATGTGATTGTCCCTTTGCCAACACCATACTATCATGATTACAGTAGCTATAGCGTAAGCCTTACTATAGGGTAGAGTGATTCCTCCCATTTTAATCTTCTTTGTTAGCATTATTTTAGCTATTCTAGGACGTGCATCTATATATATAAATTTTTTCTCATTTGTATTTTTTGTTATTTTCAAAATTATCACCTAAAGGATTTCAGAATTGTATTCAGAGCAAATCGACTAACTGAAAAATTAACAGAACACAATTAATTAAAATTTTCCCATTTAATAATTAATAAATAACAAAGTATCAGTGACTCTAATAGTGGACTGAGTTTGAACCCAGCTCAATAATTAGTTGGCTAAATATTTTCCTCAAAAACATTGATAAAGCAAGTAACCATTTACTATTATCCTGATCTTTTGCTAAGTTTATTTATTTATTTTTTCTTTTTGAGGTATTATTGACAAATAAAAATTTACAGTATACAACATGATATTTTGATGTAAACAGGGTCTTTCACTGAGAAAATGTTTTAATTTTGATGAGGTCAAATTTAGAAATTTGTTCTTTCACGGATCATTCTTTTGATGTTAAGTCTTTGTCTATCCAGAGATCCTTAAGATTTTCTCTTGTTTTAAAATTCCTAACATTTTTATATTTTTACATTTTACATTTCATTCCACAATCAATTTTGAGTGAATTTCTGTATGAAGTTTGAGGCATAGGCTGAGGGCTTTTTTTTCAGTCTATGGATACTGATATGGTTTGGCTGTGCCCCCACCCGAATCTCAACCTGAATTATATTTCCCAGAATTCCCACGTGTTGTGGGAGGGACCCAGGGAGAGGTAATTGAATCATAGGGGCCTGTCTTTCCTGTGCTATTCTCATGACAGTGCATAAGTCTCACGAGATCTGATGTGGGTTTATCAGGGGTTTCTGCTTTTGCTTCTTCCTCATTTTCTCTTGCCACCACCATGTAAGAAGAGCCTTTCACCTCCCACCATGATTCTGAGGCTTCCCCATCCATGTGAAACTGTAAGTCCAATTAAAACTTTTTTTTTGTTCCCAGTTTTGGGTATGTCTTTATCAGCAGTGTGAAAACAAACTAATACAGTAAATTGGTACTGAATGAGGGGCATTGCTGAAAAGATACCCAAAAATGTAGAAGCGACTTTGGAATTGGGTAACAGGCAGAGGTTGGAACAGTTTGGACGGCTCAGAAGAAGACAGAAAAATGTGGGAAAGTTTGGAACCTCCTAGAGACTTGTTGAATGGCTTTGACAAAAATGCTGATAGTGAAACAAACAATAAGGTCCAGGCTGAGGTGGTCTCAAGTGGAGATGAGGAACTTATCGGGAACTGGAGCAAAGGTGACTCTTGTTATGTTTTAGCAAAGAGACTAGCGGCATTTCGCCCCTGCCCTAGAGATTTGTGAAACTTTGAACTTGAGAGAGATGATTTAGGGCATCTGGTGGAGGAAATTTCTAAGCAGCAAAGCATTCAAGAGGTGACTTGGGTGCTGTTAAAAGCATTCCATTTTAAAAGGAAAACAGCATAAAAATTCAGAAAATTTGCTGCCTGACAAAGCAGTAGAAAAGAAACACCCATGTTTTGAGGAGAAATTCAAGCCAGCTGCAGAAATTTGCACAAGTAGCAAGGAGCCTACTGTTAATCCCCAAGACCGTGGGGAAAATGTCTCCAGGCCATGTCAGAGACCTTCATGGCAGCCCCTCCCATCACAGGCCCAGAGGCCCAGGAGCAAAATGTGGTGTCATGGGCTGGGCCCTAGGTCCCTGTGCTGTGTGCAACCTAGGGACTTTGTGCCCTGTGTCCCAAATGCTCCCACCATGGCTGAAAGGGGCCAACACAGAGCTTGGGCTGTGGCTTCAGAGGGTGGAAGCCCCAAGCCTTGGCAGCTTTCACGTGGTGTTGAGCCTGCAGGTGCACAGAAGTGAAGAATTGAGGTTCAGGAACCTCTGCCTAGATTTCAGAAGATGTATAGAAACGCCTGGATGCCCAGGCAGAAGTTTGCTGCGGGGGCAAGGCCCTCATGGAGAACCTCTGCTAGGGCAGTGTGGAAGGGAAATGTGGGGTTGGAGTCCCTACTGGGGTGTGGACTCCATATGTGGAAATCAAGGAGTCAGGAGTTGAGGTTTGAGAACCTTTGCCTAGATTTCAGAAGATGTGTAGAAATGCCTGGATGCCCAGGCAAAAGTTTGCTTCAGAAGCGAGGCCCTCATGGAGAACCTCTGCTAGGGCAATGCGGAAGGGAAATGTGTCATGTGGAGTCCCTACACAGAGTCCCTACTGGGGCACTGCCTAGCGGAGCTGTGAGAAGAGGGCCACCATCCTCCTGACCACAGAATGGTAAATCCACTAACAGCTTGCACCGTGTGCCTGGAAAAGCCACAGACACTCAATGCCAGCCCATGAAAGCAGCCATGAGGGAGGCTGTACCCTGCAAAGCCACAGGGGCGGAGTTGCCCAAGACCATGGAAACCAACCTTTTGCATCAGTGTGTCTTGGATGTGAGACCTGGAGTCAAAGATCATTTTGGAGCTTAAAATCTGACTGCCCACTGGATTTCGGACTTGCATGGGCCCTGTAACCCCTTTGTTGTGGCCAATTTCTCCCATTTAGAATGGCTGTATTTACCCAATACCTGTATCTCCATTGTATCTAGGAAGTAACTAGCTTGCTTTTGATTTTACAGGCTCATGAGTGGAAGGGACTTGCCTTGTCTCAGATGAGACTTTGGACTGTGAACTTTTGGATTAATGCTGAAATGAGTTAAGACTTTGGAGGATTGTTGGGAAGGCATGATTCCTTTTGAAATGTGAGGACATGACATTTGGAGGGGCCAGGAATGGAATAATATGGTTTGGCTCTGCCTCCATCCAAATCTCAGCTTGAATTGTATCTCCCAGAATTCCCAGGAGGGATCCAGGGAGAGGTAATTGAATCATGGGGGCCGGCCTTTCCCATGCTATTCTTGTGATAGCGAATAGTCTCACGAGATCTGATGGGTTTATCAGGGCTTTCTGCTTTTGCTTCTCCCTCATTTTCTCTTGCCTACGCCATGTAAGAAGAGCCTTTTGCCTCCCATCATGATTCTGAGGCCTCCCCAGCCATTTGGAACTTTAAGTCCAATTAAACCTTTTTTTTTTTTGTTCCCAGTTTCAGGTATGTCTTTATCAGCAGCATGAAAACAAACTAATACAGACACTTAATTCCTCCAGCACTATTTGTTGAAAAGACTGTTCTTCTTCCATTGAATATACCGTTTGCATGTGCACTACGAAATGATTACTAAAATGAAGCTAAGTAACATATCTGTTACCTCACACAGTTATCAGTTTTTTGCATGTGATGAGAATATTTAAGATCTGCTGTTTTAGCCAATCTCAAATGTATAACACAATTTTATTAACTATAGCACCATGCTGTACATTATATCTCCAGATCTTATTCATCATACCTAACTGAAATTCTGTACTCTTTGACAAAAAGCTCATAATTCCCCCACACTCCAGTCCCTGGCAACCACCATTCTCTGGCAACCAATAAACTCTCCGCTTCTATGAGTTTGACTCTTTAGATTCCAAATATAAGTGAGAGCATTCAGTATGTGTCTTTCTGTGCCTAGCTTATTTGAGTTAACATAATATAATATTTGAGTTAACGTAACATAATATCCTCTAGGTTCACCCATGTTGTCACAATGGAAATATATTTTATTTATATATTGTATATATTAATTATATATAATGTATCACATTTATATATTATATATGTATATATAATATATACAAATAATTACATTATGTACATTGTATATGTGTATATATAATATATAATCACATTTATATACGTTATATATGTACATATATAATATATCACATTTTCTTTTTTATTTTATTTTATTATTATTATACTTTAAGTTTTAGGGTACATGTGCACAACGTGCAGGTTTGTTACATATGTATACATGTGCCATGTTGGTGTGCTGCACCCATTAACTCGTCATTTAGCATTAGGTATATCTCCCAATGCTATCCCTCCCGCCTCCGCCCACCCCACAACAGTCCCCGGTGTGTGATGTTGCCCTTCCTGTGTCCATGTGTTCTCATTGTTCAATTCCCACCTATGAGTGAGAACATGCGGTGTTTGTTTTTTTTGTCCTTGCGATAGTTTGCTCAGAATGATGGTTTCCAGCTTCATCCATGTCCCTACAAAGGGACAATAATGTCCAATTATTTGCAGATAAAAAGTTAGGTTGATTCTGGCTGGGTGCAGTGTCTCACGCCTGTAATCGAGCACTTTGGGAGGCTGAGACTGGTGAATCACCTGAGGTCAGGAGTTCAAGACCAGCCTGGCAAACATGGTGAAACCCAGTCTCTAGTAAAAATACAAAAAGCAGCCAGGCATGGTGGCGGGCACCTGTGATCCCAGCTACTCAGGAGGCTGAGGCAGGAGAATCACTTGAACCTGAGAGGTGGAGGTTGCAGTGAGCCGAGATCATGCCACTGCACTCCAGCCTGGGCAATAGAGTTAGACTCCGTCTCAAAAGAAAAAAAAAAAAAGGTTAGTTCTATATCTTGCCAATTTCTAATAATGCTGCAATGAACATGGTAGTGCAGACAAATATCTCTTCAAGATACTGATTTCATCTTCTTTGGCTCTGTATTAAGAAGTAGGATCACTGGATCATACGGTACTTCTATATTTAAGTTTTTGAGAAATTGCCATACTGTTTTCCATATTCTCATCATCACTTGTTATCTTTTGTCTTTTTTTTATCATAGCCATTCTAACAGGTGTAAGGTGATACCTCATTGTAGTTTTCATTTGTATTTCCCTGATGATTAGTTATGTTGAATATTTTTTCGTATATCTTTTGGTCATTTATATGTCTTCTTTTGAGAAATGTCTATTCAGGTCCTTGCCCATTTTTAAATTAAACTATTTGTTTTGTGGTTAGTGAGTTTTTGATTTCCTTATATATTTTGGATATTAGCACATTATTTGATTTTCTGTCATTTTGCAAGTTGTCTCTTCACTTTGTAGATTGTTTACTTTGCTATGTGTAGGATTTTAAAATTTGATTCAGTCCCATTTATCTATTGTTGCTTTTGTTGCCTGTGCTTTTGGGTCACATCCAAAAAATCACGCCCCAGACCAATGTCAAAAAGCTTTTTTTCTTCTGGAAGTTTTACAGCTTCAGCTCTTACATTTAAGTTTTTAATTTATTTTGAGTTGATTTTTGTGTATGGTGTGAAATAAGAGTCTATTTTCATTCTTTTGTGTGCAGATATTCAGTTTCTCCAACATCATTTACTAAAGAGACTGTCTTCCCCATTGTGTGTTCTTTGCAACTTTGTCAAAGATCAATTGACTGTAAATGTGTGAATTTATTTCTAGGCTGTATTCTCTTTCATTCGTCTATATATCTGTTTTTATGCCAATACTATATTGTTTTAATTACTATACTCTATACTGTATTTCGAAATCAGGTAGTGTGATGTCTTCAGATTTGCTTCTCTTGTTTAAGATTGCATTGGTATTCAGAGGACTTTTGTGGTCACAGGAATTTTACGATTTTTTTTCCATTTCTGTGAAGAATGTCATTGGTATTTTGGTAGGGGTTATACCAAATCTATAGATCACTTTGGGTGGTATTAACATATTAATAGTATTAATTTTTCCAATCCATGAATATAGGACATCTTTCCATTTATTTGTGTCTTCTTCAGTTTTTTCACCAATGTTTTATAGTTTACAGCATGGCATACAGATTTTTCACCTCCTTGGTGTAATTTATACACCAGAATTTTATTTTTATGCTATTTTAAATAGAATTGTTTTTTGATTTGTTTGCAAATACGTTGTTGTTAGTTTATAGAAATATTCCTGATTTTTGTATGTTTATTTTGTATCCTGCAAATTTACTGCACTATTATTAGTTCCTGCATTTGTTTGGTGAGGTCAAGGATTTTCTTTATAGATCACGTCATCTGCAAATATATGCAGTTTTACTTCTTTCTCTCTGATTTGAATGTCTTTTATTTCTTTTTTTAAAAAAAAACTTTTAGGTTCGGGGTACATGTACAGGTTTGTTTATAGATAAACTGTATGTCATGGGGGTTTGATGTACAGATAATTTCATCACTCAGATAAACATAGTACTTGATAGCCATTTTTTTCTGATACGCTCCTTCCTCCTAACCTCCACCCTCAAATAGGTCCCAGTTCTGTTGTTCCTCTCGTATCTATCCATGTGTTCTTGTTGTTTAACTTCCATTTATAAGTAAAAACATGTGGTATTTAGTTTTCTGTTCCTCTGTTAGTTTGCTTCGAATAATGGCCTTTAGCTCTATCCATGTTGCTGCAAAGAATATTATCTTCTTCTTTTTTATGGCTGCATAGTATTCCGTGGTGTATATGTATCACATTTTCTTTATCTTTTATTTCTTTGTATTGCCTAATTGTTCTGACCATGCCTTCCAGTTCTATGTTGAATAGATATGGTGAGAGTGGGCACCCTTGTTTTGTTCCTGATCTTGCAGGAAATGCTTTTAGCTTTTTACTGCTGAGTATGATGTTAGCCATAGGCTTCATATATAGCCTTTATGATGTTAAGGTACATGACATTTAGTCTTAATTTGCTGAAAATTTTTATCATGAAAGATGTTAAATTTTCTCTAATGATTTTTCTACATCTTTTGAGATGAATATATAATTTGTTTCCCTCATTTTGTTAATGTAGTGTATCTCATATCTTGATTTTTGTATGTTAAGCCATTCTTGCATCCTGGGGGTAAGTTCCACTTGATCATGGGATATGTTTTTTTTTTTTTTAATGTGCTATTGAATTAGGTTTGTTAGCATTTTGTTGAAGATTTGCACATCTATGCTCATCTGGGATATTAGCCTGTAGTTTTCTTTTCTTGAAGATTCCTTGTCAGGCTTTGATATAAAGGTGTAATGGTGGTCTTGTAAAATGAGTTTGAAAGTGTTCCCTTCAATTTTTTTGGAAGTGTTTGAGAAGGATTGGCATTTTTCTTTCTTGGGAGGTTTCTGATTACTGTTTCAATCTTATTACCCACTATTAGTATGCTCAGATTTTCTATTTCTTCAGCAATCAGTCTCAGTAGGTTGTACGTTTCTAGAAATTTATCCATTTCTTCGAAATTATTCAGTTTGCTGTTGAAAAATTGTTTATAGTGTTCTCTTATGACCCTTTCTATTTCTGTGGTATTGGTTGCTTCTTTTTCATTTATAATTTTTTTTCTTTGAAACTTCCCACCTTTTTCTTAGTCTAGCTAAAGGTTTTCCAATTTTGTTTATCTTTCCAAAAAAGCCAATCTTAGTTTCATTGACCTTTGGTAGTGTCTTTCTAGTCTCTATTTTATTTATTTCTGCCCCGATCTTTATTATTTTCCTCTTTCTGCTAACTTTGGGCTTCGTTTGTTCTTCTTTTTGTAGTTCCTTGAGATATAAAGTTAGAATATTTAAAAGGTTTCTTTTTTAATGTAGTTTTAATCAACATTAACTTCCTTCTTAGAGGGGCTCTTGCTGCATCCTATTATTTTTGGTATGTTTGTGTTTCCATTTTTATTTGCCTCAAGAATTTTTTTTAGTATCCCTTTTGATTTTTTCTATGATCTACTTGTTGTTTCAGGGATGTGTTTAATTTCCACATTTTATAAATTTTCTTATTTTCCTCCGGTTATTGATTTCTAGTTTCATAGCATTGTGGCTGGTGAAGATACTTGATATGATTTCAGTCTTCTTAAATTTGTTAAACTTGTTTTGTGGTCTAACAGGTAATATATCCTGGAGAATGTTCCATGAAAGTTGAAAAAGAATGTGTATTCTGTGGTTATTGGATGGAATGTTCTGTATATGTTTGTTAGGTCCATCTGGTCTATATTGTTGTGCAAGTCTGCTTTTACTTATTGACTTTCTGCCTGGATGATCTTTCCATTGTTGAAAGTGGGGCATTGATGTCCCCAAGTATTCTTGTATCGCTATTTCTCCCTTCAGTTTTGTCAAAATTTACATAACATATTTATGTGTTGTAATGTTGAGTGCATATGTGTATATGTACACATGTGTCTATTTTGTTGGATATAAGTATAGTCAACCTATTCTATCACCACTTGCATGGAATATCTTTTTCCATCTTTTTTCTTTCAGTGTGCTTGTCTGAATCCACAGTGAGGCACCTGTACAGAGCATATAGTTGGATCATGTTTTTTAAATCATTATGCTAATCTCTACTTTTAAGTAAATGTTTAATCCACTTATATTTAATATAATTTCTAAGAAAGGACTTAGCTCTACCATTTTGCTATTTGATTTCTATATGACTTACATCATTTGTGTTCCTCATGTTTTCTGTTACTGCCTTCTTTTGTGTTAAATGGATATTTTTTCTTTACCATTTTAACTCCCTTGATATATATATGTATATGTACACACATCATATGTATTATTATTATTATATTCTTAGTAGTTGCACAGGACACTACAATTAACATCTTAATAACAATTTGTGTTGGATTAATACCAACTTTAGTTCAATAATATACAAAAGTTATGCTCTTATATAGTTCTGTTCCACCTACACCCTGACCTTAATTCTTTTATAAAACTGTTTGATGTGCTCTTTTTTAGGAGTTAATTTTAATACTTTTAATTGATTCAGTAGATAATCTTCTATATTTAGTTTTAAATTTGTTATTTTTTTACTTGTTGAATAAACTTCACAAGTTTTAAGAACAACTTTAGGTATTAGAAGATATTACTAAATTATGTGTTTATTCTGATTTAAATTTTTATTGGTAAAATATACATAACATAAAACCTATTATTTTAAGAATTTCTAAATGTATAGTTTAGTGGCACTAAGTATATTCACATTGTCACAATCAACATTACCATCTATCTCCAGAAAACTTCATCTTGCATAACTAATAATCTGTACCTATGAAAGAACTAATTTCCCATTTTCTCTGGATGCTGGAAACCACCATTCTATTTTCTGTCTGTATAAATTTGACTACTCTAGGTACCTCATATTAATAGCATTATATGGCAATTGTTTTTTATGAATGGCTTATTTCCATTTCACTTTCTTGGTTTCAAGATTCATCCATGTTGTAGCTTGTGTAAGAATATCCTTCCTTTTTAAGGCTGAATAATATCACATTGAATGTATATATCATATTTTATTTATCCATTCATCTATCAGTGGAATCTTGGATTGCTTTCACATTTTAGCTGTTGTAAATACTGCCGTTATAAACATGGGTGTACAAATACCTGTTCAATGCCTGCTTTTAATTCTTCGGTGTATATACCCAGAAGTAAAATTGCTGGATCATATGGTAATCCTATGTTTAATTTTTTTGAAGAATAACCATACAGTTTTCTACAGCAGCTGCATCATTTTACATTCCCACCAGCAATGCACAAGAAATCCAATTTCTCCAAATTGTTGCCGACACTTGTTGTTATCTGCTTTTTGTTTGTTTGTCTGTTTTTTTAAATAGCCATTTCAATGGATGTGAAGTAGCATCTCATTGTGGTTATGGTTTGCATTTCCACAATTTAAAATTTTGTGCATTTGTATGTGTTTATTGTCAAATTTGCATATCTCCTTTGGAGAAATGTTATTCAAGTTCTTTGTCTATTTTTAATTGAATCATTTATGGGTTTTCTTTGTTATTAAGTTGAAGGGGTTCTTTATACATTCCAGATATTAATCCATTATCATATATATGATTTACAAATATTTTTCTATTAGCAGGTTGCCTTTTCACTCTGCTGATAGTGTCTTTTGATGCAGAAAAGTTTTTAATTTTGTTGAAGTCCAGATTATCCCTTTGTCTCTTGTTGCCTGTACTTTAGGTATAATATTCATTGCCAAATCTAACGTCATAAAGCTTTCCTCTATGTTTTCTTCTGGGAGTTTTATGATTTTAGTGTTAAATTTAAATCTTTGAGCCAGTTTGAGTTAATTTTTGTGTATGGTGTAAGGCAAGGGTACAGCTGCATTTTTCTGCATGTGGATATCCAGTTTTCCCATTACGATTTGTTGAAAGACTATCCTTTCTTCTTTGAATTGTCTTGGCACCCTCATCGAAAATCATTTGACCATACCCAAGAGGGTTTATTTCAGGGATCACTAGTCTATTCCACTGGTCTATATATCTGTCTTCCTACCAATACTACATTGTTTTTTATTATCATAGCTTTGAATTACATTTGGAAATCATAAAATGTGAGACCTTCAATTGTGTTTTTTTCCAAGACGTTTTGGCTATTTGGGGGTCCCTTGAAATCTTGTACCAATTTTAGTTTTTTTTATTTCTACAAAAAATGTCATTGGAATTTTGTTAGAGATTGCATTGAATTAGTAGATCATTCTGAACAGTATTGCCATCTTAAAATATTAAGTCTTCCAATCCATTAGCATAAGATGTCTATTTATTTGTGCCTTTAATTTCTTTTTAGCAATGTTTTGTGGTATTTTTTTTCAACTTTTAAATTGTTTTTTATCACCTAAGTAAATTTGTATTTGACATTTGGGTTACATGTGGATGTAAATATAGACATATCACTCAACAGACATATAGAACAGCAAAGAGGAATACTTCTATTCTGGTTTAGCTATGGTCTATATTCCTCCTCATGAAATAACCTAGACAAAAATTAAGAGGTATGAAAAGTGCCAAATATTGATTTAATACATTTTCCTCTCTTTCTTATCTTTTAAATATACAATTGTGCACTATCGGTGTGAGTGAATTAAAATAATTCTAATCCAGACTATGAGCTCCATGGGCTAAAAGAGAGAGACAGCGTAGGTGAGTGGAGGGCACTTGTCCTTCATCAAGCTATTCACACAAATTAATTGAAGAGGTAGACTAAATTCTCTAAGTCTTGATGGGCTTAGATGTTACATAGGTCTTCAAGTGATGTTTTACTTTATTTTGCTTTAATTTATTGCCCTATATGTTGTATGTTCCACTAGTCTTGTAATTGGGCCAAAGTGAAAGGTTCAACTAGTCCAAGAATGCTTAATATACCCCATAAACTGTCTGAATCAAATATTTTTATTTATTGTTCAGCCAAACACAACTGATTTCCATCTACAATTATTTTTTAAGATAAGAAACAGTAAGTCAACTGAAGGAAGAGCTGGGGTATCAAGCTGTAGAACATTATTGCACTTTAGCACACTGACTGAGAAATGCAGAACCTCAGGTGGGGTCTTGTCACTGTTGGCTGCAGCAGGGCATAAGCCCAGCCTCGGTGGGCCTTTTCCAAGAATGCTCTGCAGCACCTGACACATTGCTGGTATACCATCTCAAAGTCAGGGTCATTCCCTTAACAGGGGTTTTCAATAACAAGTTGTTTTGGTGAATCATAGCACCCAAGTAGTTCAATTTTAGCTTTGCAGTTTTTAACTTGAGGAAATTTTCTATTCAAATCTCTCAAGTTGCTTTCATTGATATATGGTATATAATCAAATGTGGTAAAGTCTTCTTTGATAATCTGCTGAGCCATGTGATTCATGGGCATACCATGCTTCTTCATGCAATTTTCCTCCCTGTAATCTGGAGGGTTTCCTATTTCATATGTGGAGGTCACTGCACAGTCTATCCTCCAAAATATCTGAAACATTTTGTTCATTACAACCTTTCTGAAAATTGCTTCTGCAAACAAGTGACTGACTGCAATGGGTGTATGTGTTACCCAGACACATACACAACACTGAATTGGGCACATGCTTGGCCATCTTCTCTTAAGTTTTGCTTTATGCACTTATGTAAGCCACAACTTCATTAGGGCTCAATATTTTGCCAATATGAAATGATCATTTTCCAATTTAACATTGTATACCTTAAATCTACTTTATTGAATATTGGTGTGACACTTTTTGATTACTATTCTTATGAGTTTACCTGAAAAGTATTTGTCATATTTGAATCATTGTGCTTTAGGTATTTCTCTTGGAATCAGCATGTATTGTATTTCTGATCCCATTTTATTAATCTTGTATTTTTTTTTTTTTTGAGACAGAGTCTTGCTTTGTGCCCCAGGCTGGAGTGCAGTGGCACAATCTCGGCTCACTGCAAGCTCCGCCTCCTGGGCTCACGCCATTCTCCTGCCTCAGCCTCCCGAGTAGCTAGGACTACAGGCGCCCACCACCACGCCTGGCTAATTTTTCATATTTTTAGTTGAGATGGGGTTTCACTGTGTTAGCCAGGTTGGTCTCGATCTCCTGACCTCGTGATCCGCCCACCTCGGCCTCCCAAAGTGCTGGGGATTATAGGCTAATCTTGTGTTTTTTTTTTTTTTTTTTATTATACTTTAAGTTTTAGGGTACACGTGCACAACGTGCAGGTTTGTTATATATATACACATGTGCCATGTTGGTGTGCTGCACTCATTAACTCGTCATTTAACATTAGGTATATCTCCTAATGCTATCCCTCCCCACACCCCCGACCCCACAACAGGCCCCAGTGTGTGATGTTCCCCTTCCTGTGTCCATGTGTTCTCATTGTTCAATTCCCACCTATGAGTGAGAACATGTGATGTTTGGTTTTTTGTCCTTGCAACAGTTTGCTGAGAATGATGGTTTCCAGCTTCATTCATGTCCCTACAAAGGACATGAACTCATCATTTTTTATGGCTGCAGAGTATTCCATGGTGTATATGTGCCACATTTCCTTAATCCAGTCTATCATTGTTGGACATTTGGGTTGGTTCCAAGTCTTTGCTATTGTGAATAGTGCCGCAATAAAATTACGTGTGCATGTGTCTTTGTAGCAGCATGATTTATAATCCTTTGGGTATATACCCAGTAATGGGATAGGTGGGTCAAATGGTACTTCTAGTTCTAGATCCCTGAAGAATGGCCACACTGACTTCCACAATGGCTGAACTAGTTTACAGTCCCACCAACAGTGTAAAAGTGTTCCTATTTCTCCACATCCTCTCCAGCACCTGTTGTTTCCTGACTTTTTAATGATTGCCATTCTAACTGGTGTGAGATGGTATCTCATTGTGGTTTTGATTTGCATTTCTCTGATGGCCAGTGATGAGCATTTTTTCATGTGTCTGTTGGCTGCATAAATGTCTTCTTTTGAGAAGTGTCTGTTCATATCCTTTAGCCCACTTTTTGATGGGATTGTTTGTTTTTTTTTCTTGTAAATTTGTTTGAGTTCATAGTAGATTCTGGATGTTAGCCCTTTGTCAGATGAGTAGATTGCAAAAGTTTTCTCCCATTTTGTAGGTTGCCTGTTCACTCTGATGGTAGTTTCTTTTGCTGTGCAGAAGCTATTTAGTTTAATTAGATCCCATTTGTCAATTTTGGCTTTTGTTGTCATTGCTTTTGGTGTTTTAGACATGAAGTCCTTGTCCATGCCTATGTCCTGATTGGTATTGCCTAGGTTTTCTTCTAGGGTTTTTATGGTTTTAGGTCTAACATTTAAGTCTTTAATCCATCTTGAATTAATTTTAGTATAAGGTGTAAGGAAGGGATCCAATTTCAGCTTTCTACATATGGCTAGCCAGTTTTCCCAGCACCATTTATTAAATAGGGAATCCTTTCCCCATTACTTGTTTTTGTCAGGTTTGTCAAAGATCAGACAGTTGTAGATATGTGGCATTATTTCTGAGGGCTCTGTTCTGTTCCATTGATCTATATCTCTGTTTTGGTACCAGTACCATGCTGTTTTGGTGACTGTAGCCTTGTAGTATTGTTTGAAGTCAGGTAGCATGATGCCTCCAGCTTTGTTCTTTTGGCTTAGGATTGACTTGGCAATGCGGGCTCTTTTTTGGTTCCATATGAACTTTAAAGTAGTTTTTTCCAATTCTGTGAAGAAAGTCATTGGTAGCTTGATGGGGATGGCATTGAATCTATAAATTACCTTGGGCAGTATGGCCATTTTCACGATATTGATTCTTCCTACCCATGAGCATGGCATGTTCTTCCATTTGTTTGTATCCTCTTTTATTCACTGAGCAGTGGTTTGTAGTTCTTCCTGAAGAGGTCCTTCACATCCCTTGTAAGTTGGATTCCTAGGTATTTTATTCTCTTTGAAGCAATTGTGAATGGGAGTTCACTCATGATTTGGCTCTCTGTTTGTCTGTTATTGGTGTGTAAGAATGCTTATGATTTTTGCACATTGATTTTGTATCCTGAGACTTTGCTGAAGTTGCTTATCAGCTTAAGGAGATTTTGGGCTGAGACGATGCGGTTTTCTAGATACACAATCATGTCATCTGCAAACAGGGACAATTTGACTTCCTCTTTTCCTGATTTAATACCCTTTATTTCTTTCTCCTGCCTGATTGCCCTGGCCAGAACTTCCAACACTATGTTAAATAGGAGTGGTGAGAGAGGGCATCCCTGTCTTGTGCCAGTTTTCAAAGGGAATGCTTCCAGTTTTTGCCCATTCAGTATGATATTGACTGTGGGTTTGTCATAAATAGCTCTTATTATTTTGAGATACGTCCCATCAATACCTAATTTATTGAGAGTTTTTAGCATGAAATGCTGTTGAAGTTTATTGAAGGCCTTTTCTGCATCTATTGGGATAATCATGTGGTTTTTGTCTTTGGTTCTGTTTATATGCTGGATTACATTTATTTATTTGCATATGTTTAACCAGCCTTGCATCCCAGGGATGAAGCCCAAGTGGTGGCTCATGGTGGGTAAGCTTTTTGATGTGCTGCTGGATTCGGTTTGCCAATATTTTATTGAGGATTTTTGCATCGATGTTCATCAGGGATATTGGTCTAAAATTCTCTGTTTTTGTTGTTTCTCTACCAGGCTTGGTATCAGGATGATGCTGGCCTCATAAAACGAGTTAGGGAAGATTCCCTCCTTTTCTATTGGTTGGAATAGTTTCAGAAGGAATGGTACCAGCTCCTCCTTGTACCTGTGGTAGAATTCGGCTGTGAATCCATCTGGTCCTGGACTTTTTTTGGTTGGTAAGCTATTAATTATTGCCTCAATTTCAGAGGCTGTTATTGGTCTATTCAGAGATTCAACTTCTTCCTGGTTTAGTCTTGGGAGAGTGTATGTTTCGAGGAATTTATCCATTTCTTCCAGATTTTCTAGTTTATTTGTGTAGAGGTGTTTATAGTATTCTCTGATGGTAGTTTGTATTTCTGTGATATCCCCTTTATCATTTTTCATTGCATCTATTTGATTCTTCTCTCTTTTCTTCTTTATTAGTCTTGCTAGGAGTCTATCAATTTTGTTGATCTTTTCAAACAACCAGCTCCTGGATTCATTAATTTTTTGAAGGGTTTTTTGTGTCTCTATTTCCTTCAGTTCTGCTCTGATCTTAGTTATTTCTTGCCTTCTGTTAGCTTTTGAATGTGTTTGCTCTCGCTTCTCTAGTTCTTTTAATTGTGATGTTAGGTTGTCAATTTTAGATCTTTCCTGCTTTCTCTTGTGGGTATTTAGTGCTATAAATTTCCCTCTACACACTGCTTTGAATGTGTCCCAGAGATTCTGGTATGTTGTGTCTTTGTTCTCACTGGTTTCAAAGAACATCTTTATTTCTGCCTTCCTTTCGTTATGTACCCAGTAGTCATTCAGGAGCAGGTTTTTCAGTTTCCATGTAGTTGAGCGGTTTTGAGTAAGTTTCTTAATCCTGAGTTCTAGTTTGATTGCACTGTGGTCTGAAAGATAGTTTGTTATAATTTCTGTTCTTTTACATTTGCTGAGGCGTGCCTTACTTCCAACTATGTGGTCAATTTTTGAATAGGTGTGATGTGTTGCTGAAAAGAATGTATATTCTGTTAATTTGGGGTGGAGAGTTCTGTAGATGTCTATTAGGTCCACTTGGTGCAGAGCTGAGTTCAATTCCTGGATATCCTTGTTAACTTTCTGTCTTGTTGATCTGTCTAATGTTGACAGTGGGATGTTAAAGTATCCCATTATTATTGTGTGGGAGTCTAAGTCTCTTTCTAGGTCTCTAAGGACTTGCTTTATGAATCTGGGTACTCCTGTATTGGGTGCATATATATTTAGGATAGTTAGCTCTTCTTGTTGAATTGATCCCTTTACCATTATGTAATGGCCTTCTTTGTCTCTTTTGATCTTTGTTGGTTTAAAGTCTGTTTTATCAGAGACTAGGATTGCAACCCCTGCCCTTTTTTGTTTTCCACTTGCTTGGTAGATCCTTCTCCATCCTTTTATTTTGAGCCTGTGTGTGTCTTTGCACGTGAGATGGGTTTCCTGAATACAGCACACTGATGGGTCTTGACTCTTTATCCAATTTGCCAGTCTGTGTCTTTTAATTGGAGCATTTAGCCCATTTCATTTAAGGTTAATATTGTTATGTGTGAATTTGATCCTGTCATTATGATGTTAGCTGGTTATTTTGCTCATTAGTTTATGCAATATTCAACATTCTTAAAGAAAATAATTTTCAACCCAGAATTTCATATCCAGCCAAACTAAGCTTCATAAGTGAAGGAGAAATAAAATACTTTACAGACAAGCAAATGCTGAGAGATTTTGTCACCACCAGCCCTGCCCTAAAGAGTTCCTGAAAGAAGCACTAAACATGGAAAGGAACAACCAGTACCAGCCACTGCAAAAACATGCCAAATTGTAATCTTGTATTTTAAAGGAGAATTTTTAACTATCGATAGTTATTATAATATAAATATATGATTTTATTTTTCTCATGTCCACTTGTGCATTTCAAATTTTTTATGGTGTTTAGCATTCTGTTACCATTATTATTACTATAGTTACCTCCTACCTGAAGTTAAGCATTTTCTTTTAATCTCCAGTGGTTTTCTTTAGGCTTAAAAATACATGCAACTCCATTTCTCTTTCAGAATTAACAGTGAAACTATATATTCATATCTCTCCTTATGTAAGGTAATACTAAAATACCTTTTTTCCTCCTCTCCTTCTTCCTCCTACTTAATCTTTGTTTACAGAATCTTCGACCCAGTTTACTATGTTTCCTTTTTTCTTCTTAACATCCTATATGGCGTCTCTAAGATATATATTTGCCTTTCACATTCTTTTATTTTTTCCCATCCATATCTATAGTTACAATTAAGACTGAATTCTATGCTCCAATTGTTTTAATGATTGTTGAATGTTTCTTTATACTATGATTTAGCCGCTGTTCATTTCTTTATTTTGATGGATTTTTTATCAGCTGGAGTAGCTTTTTGAGCAATATAATAAGTAGTATGATTTCTGAGACAGCATATCTGAGAACATTTTCTGTTGCCTTTATACATTAATTAAAACATATCTGTATATAATATTCTTGTGTCACAGCTTTCCTCTCTAATATTGTTTAGAATTTGCTCGATTGCCTTCTTCCTGTGTGTCATACAATGGAGAAACTTTCACCTATTGATTTTCCTCTCCTCTTTTACTTTCTCTCTTACCCCCTCACAACTTTCTCTCTTCTCCCCTCTTTTCTTCATCTCCTTATTTCCTCCTCCTTTCTCCTTCTGTCTGGTTCATTTTTTCATCTTCTTTTTCCTTATGCTCCCCTTCTTCCTCTTTCTTTCCTTTTCACCGTCTTCCTCCTCTTTTCCTTCTCCTTCTCCTCCCCTTTTTTCTTCTCACTTACCACATGCCTGTTTTTCTCTTTCTTCCTTCTTTTCCTCCCCTTCCTTTTCCACTTTTTTCTCATCTCTCCTCTCTGCCTCCGTTTATCCTCATACTGCTCTTTTTCTTCTTCTCTTTTTGTTCTCCTTTTCCTTTTTCTGTTGTCCGTCTTCCTCTTCCACTTTTTTCTCCTCTCTTGTGCTTTCTCCTTTGTAGTTATCCTTACTAATGTCTTTCAACTTAAAAACTTCCGGAGTTGGTTGATATGCCATTAATTTTTCTCAGGATTCAGTGAGGTCTTTGTATATGCAAACAGAAACTTGCACTTTAGTTCAATAATTTTGTCATCTATTAAATATTTCCTTATTATTTATATCCCATTTATTTGCATGTTGTTTACAGGAACATTGATTTTTCATATGTTGGTATTATGATTACTCCACATCTGTCACATTCTCTGATCATTTTCAATTCATTTCCTTTTCCTGCTCATTCTGGGGAGTTCCTTGGTTTGTCTTTCATATTTCAGATTAGATTTTCTTTAGTTTTCACATGCCTTTTAGCAATATTAATGACTATATAAGTTCTACTTATATATTTTTATTTCCCCTTCATTCTTTCTTGCTTTGACTCTGCTAGTACTTCTTTCATTTCTCAGCCAATGTTTTATGGATTTCATTTTATAGTTTTGTTATAAAGAGTCCTTGCTGTAGTAAATTATAGTATTTTTAAAATTTTGGCTTTGTTTTCCTTAGCATATGCTTTTCTAACAATATATTCTTTAGTATCTTTAACACAATATTATGTAAATATATTTATGTATTATTTCTTTCATAATGATATCTTCCTTTATGTCTCCATATTGTTGTTGTTTTCTAATTTGGAAATATCTTCATGTACTTTTCCCCATTGGTTGTTGGGGAACAGGTGGTGTTTGGTTACATAAGTAAGTTCTTTAGTGGTGATTAGTGAGATTTTGGTGTACCTGTCTCCCGAGCGGTATACACTGCACTTTACTATCCCTTGACCCCTTCCCACCCTTGCCCCCAAGTCCCCTGGTCCATTGTATCATTCTTATGTTTTTCCTCCTCATAGCTTAGCTCTCACATATCAGTGAGAACATATGATGTTTGGTTTTTCATTCCTGAGTTACTTCCTTTAGAATAATCAGTTTTTGTTTAGTTTACTCTTCCTTGAATGTGGAGAGCTCTTTCCATAAACAGGTGGGTTGATTCTCTTTGGATTTCCTAATAGTACATCTGGATGCAGTTAGAATCACCCTTTCAAGTCTTAACCTGGGCTTGTGAGTACAGGTGGAGACTGTGATATAAATTTAAATCCCCATTATCAAAACTGTGCCTTAGTGGAATTTTTTCTTTTGAGTTTTTTGCCCCAGTGACAAAGTTTCATTTTCTAGCATTCGGATTGATACAGCCTCAACAACAGTAAGAGAAACCACTGTGTAACTTTTTGTAACCTTTTTTTTTTCTTGGCGTCCATATTCTCTGCTATTTACTGACAAATTACTATTGTTCAGAGAAAAATGCTGGTAAATGAGGGTTTCTGCATACTGTACCCAGCAGAGCTGTGAGGAACCTAGGCATTTTCCGTTGTTACTGCTCTGAATTACTTTGTCTCTGTAAATATAAGAAGAAATCCACGGAGATGATGCATTTTCAAAGTGAGAAGAATTTGAATCTCCCATTGCTGTATCCCATTAATTTTTTCCTTCTCCCCTAGAAACCTCCCAAAGAGTTTAAATAAGTAGGTAGCAGCCTTCCCTGGTTCATGATACATGATGCCCCAGATTTTAAAAAATGGCCTGTTCATTTCAGTAGGTATCTGAAAAGAGTAAGGATGAATATCTGTTCTCTCTTTATAAACATATTTTCTTAGTTATCTTCAACTTATAAATTTTCAACCTAATATAAAACCATTCAATAATGATTGCAATCCACCCTGTCCATATAAATGTTCATCATTACTGTCTTAGTCTTAGGAATCTATACATTCCTTAAAAGACATGGACAATGCCAGCATCCAAGAGAACTGAAATCTAAATCTCTGCTTCTAAAGAGCAGAGATTCACTTATCAATTACATTAAGCAATTTTTACCTTTTTCTTTGGGGTTGAGTATGAGGTATGTTCATTGAGGAGGGAATATCTCATTTTTGTTCACTAAGCAGTCTCAAGCTGCTGTAATTACTTTCATTTCCTTTACAATTACTAATAGATGTTTACCTGCTATAATGATGACAGCAGAGTCATTTGAAAAAGGCAGCATTGGCATGAGGTTGAACACTACAGGCACCTTTTAATAGTGCCTTTAGGAAATGCATCATTAAACCCATTAATGTTTGCATTTAGGAAATACTTTGTTTAAAAATCCTATGTGAGTAGCATCCTACATTCAGAAAGATCATATTTGGCCCAGAGGCTCAGGTTGGAAGGCAGGAGGACAGTGGCATGACTAAGAAAGACAACAAGGCATAGTTGTCATGAGCATAGACACAGGAGATTGACTGACTGGTTTCAAATCCTTTCTCTCTCACTTACTACCTGTGTAATCTTGGAAAATCACTTAACCTGTCTGTTTTTCTCTTTTATTATCTATATGTAGGGATAAGAATAGCAACTATCTCACAGGCTTATTGGGAAGATTATCTATGTTAGAGTTTATAAAGTTACCTGGCACATAGAAAGGGCCATACATCTGCTAGATATTATCATTACGGTTGTTGAAAAAGTCCTTCATAGTCAAAGGAACAGCTCTGAGATTTGGAGTCCTGGGCTGAAGAACGCCAGCATGCCTGGGTGATGTGGGAGAGAAGATTGTAGTCTAGGAAGTAGGCAGCTCCATTTTGAAATTGTCACCACATAGCTGGATGGCATTAGAAACTATTCTGATGTTTAGTTTCCATATATGTAAAATAGGCATGTTGGTATAAACTGCAATTTAAGATGTTTGCTCATATTTTCACTGGAAACATCACATTTGTAAACTAAAATAAGCGAATACTTTGAACAGATAAATTATTGCGTTAAACTAAGGAAAGATAGGCAATCTATAATTAGAGATTTGTCTTGTGTCCACAAATCTGCACAGATTCAGAGGAGAAAATAAAAAGACTGAATTCACCAGAAGCCTAATTTATCCTGAGGTAGAATTCCTTCCAATTATCTCAATGTAAAGAAATAAACTTTATTAATAGAAAATTTACTATAAGCCTCTGATTTTTAATTTTGTATTATTATTTTTAAAAGTCTTTTAATAAACTGAAAATTTAGATGACCGTGGGTTTGGTGGTGACTTCTTTAATACAAGATCGAAAGCATGATCCATAAAATAAAACATTGTTAAGTTGGAATTTATTAAAATTTAACACTTCTGTGAAAGACATTGTTAAGGGAACAAGAAGACAGGTCACAGACTGGGGGAAAATCTTTGCAAAACACATGTAAGATAAATGACTGTTATCCAACATATACAAAGAACTCTTAAAACTCAACAATTAGGCTGGGCACAGTGGCTCATGCCTATAGTCCCAACACTTTAGGAGGCCGAGGCGGGAGGATCACCTAAGGTCAGGAGCTCGAGACCAGCCCTGGCCAACATTGCAAAACCCCATAGTTACTAAAAATACAAAAATTAGCCAGGTGTGGTGGTGCATGCTTGTGATTCCAGCTACTGGGAAAGCTGAGGCAGGAGAATTGCTTGAACCTGGGAGGCGGAGGTTGCAGTGAGCTGAGATCACAGCACTGCACTCCAGCCTGGGCCACAGAGTGAGACTCTATCTCAAAAAAACAAAACAAAAAACAAAACAAAACAAAACCCCAAAACAAACAAACAAAAAAATTCAACTATGAAAAAAATACCAACCACCTGTTTAAAAATTGGGCAAAAATTCTGAACAGACACCTTATCAAAGATTTACAGATGGCAAACAAACATGAGAAGATGCTCAACATCACGTCATTAGGGAATGCAAATTAAAACAACAGTGGAATACCACTACACACCTATTAACATGGCCACAATCCAAGACGCCAATAGCACCAAATGCTGGTGAGGACATGAAGCAACAAAAGGTCTTATTCATTGCTGTTATGGCCACTTTGGCAGACAGTTCGCAGTTTCTTACAAAACACAGCATACAGTTACCATATAATACAGCAGTTACTCTTCTGGTATTTAGCCCAAAGAATTAAGAATATATGCCCACACAAAAATCTTTACATAAATGTTTATAGCTGCTTTATTTATAATTTTCAAAACTTGGAAGCAACTAAGGTATCTTCTAACAGGTGAATGGATACATCAACTCTGGTACATCCAGACAATGGAATATGATTCAGTGCTAAAAAGAAAAAAAATGAGCTATCAGGTTGAAAAAACATGGTGGATACTTGAATGCCCATTGATAAGTGAACATTTTATGATAAACAGAAATATGTATGGATTTTTAATAACACCTGTGTCAAGGTCTTAAAAGATGTATTTGTGGATAAAGTGTGGAAAATATGAATTGGGCAGGGCTACTGTGGATAAATCAGTCTTTGGAGACTGAACTTAAATTCTGTTTATACATGGATCATTGCCGTTTTGCATGTGAGCCTTTCATTCTTTTAATTGATATGTGGGTAGTGACATTGAACAGGAATCATAAACAGTTGGATATGATCTGAATTTATCTGACATCCTTGGTTTTTTGACAGCACAATGTTTTAAATTTGTAAATTTGATATTTTCGGTGGTACCTGCACTCTCCAGATTACCCTTGGTATTATTCGTTTTTTTATTTTTTGTCACCTGCTGACTTTATACCCTCACATACTCACCGTACACCATCAAGCCATTCAAGTTAGTAACTTCGGACATAGACAATCTGAATGACTCTTTGCAAGTTAGTGGGTACTGTAAATCCTTGCTATTCAAAGTGGACCATATAGACCAGCATCGCTGGCATAAGTGAAGTCTCAGACCTCACCTCAGATATCCTGGATCAGAATCCGTATATGACTAGATCTCTAAGTGTTTTTAATCCACATTAATTTTTGGAAAGCAGTGCCTCTGGTTAGAAAAAAAATGATCTATAAAATTTCAATAGCCTGAAGTGATTGGCTGCATCTAACAAAATACATTTTAACGGAGCTACATATCAGTTCTTGCCTTCAGGCCACCATAAACTTGTAAAGGAAGGTGGTTCATATTAATGGGACTCATGAAAAAGAAATTGTGTAAATTTCTCTACATGTTATAATAAAGGAACAGGTCTTCCCTGTTATGATAAAGGAACAGGACCAGTCTTCTCATTATTAATAACTATAAAATGGGAAAAATATGCTGTATGTAAGCATTTTAAACACAAAGAGACACAGATACATTGAGAGAGAAGGTAAAGATATACCATGTAAACAGTAAGCATAAGAAAGCTGGTGAGGCTATATCAATATCAGACAGAATGGACTTTATGCCATAGAGTATTACAGAGGATAGAGGGTCATTGCATAATAATAAAAGGAACAAATTCACCAGAGAGAAAACATGTCTAAATATTTATGCACAAAATGGAGCAACAAAGTTTATGAGGTAAAATCTGACAAATCTAGTGGAATAAGTAGAAAAATCTAATATAGTCAAAATTTAACTTAATTCTCTTAAAAACTCATACAGCAAGTAAACAAAAAACTATTAAGGCTTTATAAATCTGTACAATACCCTCAGCTAACTTGACATAATTGACATTTATGGAACGCTATACCCCAAAATTGCAGAATATGCAGTTTTTTAGTGTGCATGAAACATTCACCAAGAATAACCAGTTTTTGAGCCATAGAATTAAATCTCAGTAAATTTAAAGAGTAAAATCATACATAACATGTTCTATCCCTACAATTAATTACTTTAAAAATCAATAAAAATAAACAATCTAGAAACTTCACAGGAAATATAACTAACATAATGTAGCTAAAATATTACTGAAGTATTAGCTAAATATTATCAATAATAAATATTTAGCTAAAGTATTAGCTAAATGTTTATCTAATACAGCTAAAATAGTGCTTAAAGGAAAGTTTATAGCTTTAAATGCCTATATTAGAAACAAAAAAAGAGTTTTGCTTAAATTCAGGATTCTTAGTTTCCTTCCTAAGAGGAGAGAAAAATAAAGACAAGTTTAGTTCAATGTAATCTGAAAGAAAAAATTAGAATATATATAATAACATCGAAAATTAGCAAAGCTTAAAGTTGGTTATTTGGTAATTTTAATAAAGGTATTAAACCCCAAGCAAGACTAACCAAGAAAAATAAGAGAAAATGGAAATTCGGCATGCGCTGTCTCTGTCTAGGTGTATTTAATTTCATCTCCCAGTAGCTTCTGTATGCTCCTTGAACATCATGAATAGTTTTCTGCTCTTCTTCATGTAAGTTAGTCCATATTTTTAGAGCACCTTTCTCTCTGCTTTTTTACCTAGCCAATTTCACTCATCCTTCTCAAAGGTCACCTCCTCAGAATGGCCTTCCTAGATACACCTTAATTTAAATCACCTTTCTCTATTTTTTTTAATGTCATAGACCCTATACTTTTATTTCATAGCAATTATTACACTGTGCAATTATGTACTTATGTGCTTACTTTTGTTTAACATGCACTCATATCTATAGGCAATAAAATCCATGGATCTAAGGACTGAATTTGTATTTCCCCTATTGTAGAACCAATGCTTAGCACAGTGCCTGACAGTATATATACCCTATACATATGTTAATTGGATTACTTAATTACTAAAGGCAGACTTGTGCTTTATGGTCCATATATAAAGAATTAGGAACACTGGGTAGAATAGTTCAAGATAAAGCTTAGCTCAGTGGATAAAATAAAGTCCCTTCTTGGTGTCAGACATGTCTGAAGATGAATAAACACCCTTGGGAGGTGACAAATTATGCATCCCTGAGCTGTGTCCATAATAGCTAGGAAGCCACGAATGTCTCTTATAAATTCTGAATTCATGTATTTTGTGCTCCCTATTCCTTGGGTTACATGCTCTTTACAGCTCTGCCATGCAAAGAGCAGCTGGCTTGTTTTTTTTGTTTGTTTGGTTGGTTGGTTTTGGTTTTTCTTATTTATTTTTAGATTGAGGACAATTGTTTATGTCCATCATACACATCAGTATCCTACTGGGCAAAGCGTTGACAGGACATCTTTTTCTTAAGGTCAAATTGGAGATATTCCACATCTTTTGATTTTTTACTTCTTTTTATTCTTCTATTCCTCCTGTATCCAGAGATCCATTAGAATTGTGTGAAATGCAGTCTGCAGTTTATGTACTGTTTCACTTTGAACAGTGAGATTCATGAATTGATAGCATCCACATTTTATAGCTGTGATAAGTCATCCATATGCACAACCTGGCTGTAAAATTTGTATTCCTGTTCAGGCTTATGCATACACAATATAGTAGTGAGAATTATATAATTCAGGAAAGCTAGGTTCCAAAGGGGCAAGCAAGTTGTATAACTCCCATGATGGGTGCATACCCACTTCTCTCATGTCACATCCAGAACTACAGCATCTGGTTGTCAAAGAAACATCAAGGGCATTGAGTCCAGCCTTCTGCAGTAGACGCTGAGTTCTTAAGGAAGGCAAGAGACAGCATTTCCACAGGCTTACTCTATAGACTGTTGAAAAGATGACTCTCATTGAGGACTAACCTAAAGTTGACATATTCAAGGTGCTGGAAAGTCCCAAATTAGTATTTCTCTTATCTTCTATGTTTTTAAAAATTTAGTAGACTTTATTTTTTTAAACAGTTTTAGGTTTACAGAAAAATTGACTGGAAAGTAGTAGAGTTCTCATATATTCATCTTCTCTTCCCTCCACTTTCCTCTATTGTTATTATTTTTTATTTGTATTAATTTAAGGGGTACAAGTGCAGCTTTGTTACATGGCTATCTTGTGTAGTGGTGAAGTCTGGGCTTTTAGTCTTACCATCACTCAAATAATGTACATTGTACCCATTAAGTAATTTCTCATTGTCACCTCCCTCCCACCCTCCCACTTTTCCAAGTCTCTCTCTAGTGTCTATTATTTCACTCTCTTTGTCCATGTGTACCTATCATTTACTTCCCACTTATAACTAAAATGAATATGAGGAATTTGACTTTGTGTTTCTGAGTTATTTCACTTACGGTAATATCCTCTGTTTCCATCAGTGTTACCGCAAAATATATGATTTTATTCTTTTTTATGGCTGAATAATATTCCATTATATATATATATATATATATATATATATATATATATATATATATATATATACACACCACATTTTCTTTATCTAGTTACCAGTTGATGGACATTTAAGTTGATTTCATATTTTTGCTATTGTGAACAGTGCTGCAGTGAACAGTTATCTTTCTGATATAGTGATTTGTTTTCCGTTGGTTAGATATTCAGTAGTGGGATCAAATGGTAGTTCTATCCTTAGTTCTTTGAGAAATCTCCATACAGTTTTCCATAGATGTTGTACTAATTAATTTACATTCCTTCCAACAGTGTATAAGTGTTCCCTTTTCTCCACATGCTCCCCAACATGTTACATTTGTCATTTTAGTAATAGCCATTCTGATTGGTGTAAGATGGTAACTCACTGTAGGTTTAATTTACATTTCTCTGATAATCGGTGATGTTGAGCATTTTTTCAGGTTTGTTGATCGTTGGTATGTTTCCTTTTGAAAAGTGTTTGTTCATTTCCTTTACCCACTTTTTAATGAGGTTCTTTGCTTTGTTGTTGAGTAATTTGAGTTCTTTGTAAATTCTGGATATCAGTCTCCTATTGAATGCATGTTTTGCAAATATTTATTTTCTCCCATTTTGCATGTTGTCTGTTCACAATGTTGACTACTTCTTTAGCTTTGCAGAAACTTTTTAGTTAATTCCCATTTGTCTACTTTTGATTTTGTTGCTTACGCATTTGCGGTCTTAGACATAAATTATTTGCCTAGATCAATGTCTGGTTTGCCCTTGGTTTTCTTCTAGTATTTCTGTAGTTTCAGTCTTACATGTAAGTCTTTGATTCATCTTGAGTTGATTTTTGTATATGGTGAAAGATAAGGGTCCAACTTCATTCTTTTGCATATGGCAATCCAATTTTCCCCACACTATTTATTGAAAAGTGTCCCCTTTCCCCAGTGCATGTTTTTGTTGACTTTGCTAAAGATCAGTTGGATGTAGATATGTGGCTTTATTTCCATGTTCTCTATTCTGTTTCATTGACCTGTGTATTTATTTTTATACCAGTACCCTGCTGTTTTTTTTTACTATAGCCTTGTAGTATATTATTAACATCTTTGTGTAGCACATTTGTTACAGTTGATGAGCCAATACTGATACCTTATTATTAACTTAAGGTCTTAGTTTACTTAAGACTCACTTTTTGTGCTGTATGTTCTATTGCTTTTGATAAATATATAATGACATATATCCATCTTTATGGTATTATACATAATAGTTTCACTGTACAAAAAGTCTCTATGTTCTACCTATGTATCTCACTCTCCGTCTCCCCAAATATTTTATTGACTAAGCAGAAACTGGGATAATTCTAAATATCCACTTGCTCCATACACCCCAGAACTACTCTGTTAATAGAGTCTATCCATTCTACCCCCTAAATCTCTCAAATACATGTGATTTCTATGTCTTGATGACTACTTAGTTTATTATCTTGATGACTACTTAGTTTATTATACCAACCTCCTGACTTACCTTTTTCTCTCCTCTTTTCACTCCCTCAAATCTTTCTCCATATTGTAAGTACAAAATTCTTTGTAAAATAAATTCTGATAAGGTCAGTCATCGCTTATTCATCTCTAGTAGTTCTAGTGTTCAGATTAAAATTCAGCTTTCTTAGCAAAGCATCTTCACTTGATCATAGCCACCTTTACAGCCTTACCTTTACAGCTACATGCATGTTCTGTGATGTCTCAAATGCTAGGCCTTGGGGAATATCTCAAAGTACAGTTACTTCCTGTAGCTTGTTAGTCAAGTGTTTGAATTTTTCAGGATTCAGTTTTGTTTATTTTGTAGGTTTTTTCTTATGATTTTCTATGACAGCTCCTATATAACTTCTTTAATTGGAAATTTGACTATTTATTTGTCCTCCTTGTGTTTCTTTCTTCTTCTTCTTCTTTTTTTTTTTTTTTAACAGGGTCTCACTCTGTCGCACAGGCTGGAGTGCAGTGGCACAATCTTGGCTCACTGCAACCTCTGCCTCCCGGGCTCAAGTTATTCTCCCACCTCAGCCTCCCTCCTGTGTAGCTGGGACCACAGGCACACGCCATCACAACTGGCTAATTTTTGCATTTTTTTATAGAGATGAGATTTTGCCATGTTTCCCAGACTGGCCTCAAACTCCTGGGGTCACGCAATCCACCCACCTCAGCCTCCCAAAGTGCTGGGACTGTAGCTATGAGCCACTGCACCCATCCTCTCCTTTTGTTTCTATCACTGAACTTATTTAATTGAATTTTTACTCTTCATTTATAAGTTCTGTCTTTCATTAAACTGTGCCTTCACTGAGTGTAAAAACTGTGTTCCATTCATTTTATAGTTCTCCATGCTAAACAAATGGCTTGGCACTCAGCTTAGCACATAGTAGGGTTGGGTAAATTCATAAATGAACGGACAGTGGAGCTTGAGAGACTCAGATCTCCTAGAGCCAGTAGGTGAATAAATAATAATGAAAACATACTGTGAAAGCTGTGAGAAGAAAAGAATAGATGTAGAGAGAAAGCTGCATAAATGGAGCTACTGACGAAACCACCAAGAAGGATAACTGCTGCTGAGAACAAGCTGCCCCATTGGCAGCTCATTGCACAGTGTGATGTAGAACTATCGAGAGGGCTACAGTGACAGTCTCCCAGTGTGCAGTGGGACCCCGACTGCAGAAACCTCTGAGGTGGAAACAAGGTAGTTTAGATGAGCTGGTCATTGCTTTTGGTGTTCAGTGACTGTGGACCCATCAATCTTCTGACAAGCCCAGGGCAAGTGTCTTGGAAAACAGCCAGAATATGTATGGCACATTTGGGGCCATGCAGAGCTGTTCACATTTTAAAAATGAGGGAAAGAAAATAATTTGTTGATAATGCAAGTAGTGGGAAATTTGGGAGAAAGAGAAACTGTCTTATTGAAATTGATTGTAATAGATGCGAACTAGAAGGCAGAGTTAGGCACAACTTGGTAGTTAGTTAATTCTTCAGGTAAGCAGAATTCCAAATTTTTCAGAAAAAGGAACATTTTGAGGTCCACAGCTATGATTGAAGAGGGGAAAGTCTTTAAATCATGCAGTGTGAGTGGTCTAATCACAAATTATCTCAGTGAGGAGGGACAGCAGGCAGATGCCAGGGGCTCACTACGAGGATCTGGGGAATCAGAGGGGTAAGAGACAAGCAAGGAAATTGAGAGGTAATGCACAGAATAATAAAACAAAACATGGATATTCACTCAAAAGTGTGTGTAAATAGGGCCAAGTGAAAGAATGAACTTCAATTGGTGAAAAATGCTAAAGAAAACAAAAGTTATGGCAGAATTGCTTTCTAAACTCTCGTTGGCAGAGGAGGTCAGTGTTTAAGGAATACTGGGTGGCATTAACAGACAATAATGTGAAGCAGAATCACTGCTGTCATGTAAAAACCATTGGTTCATTTTTTTGTGTGTTAGCACAGTGGCTTGCTGGCTGTGTGATTTTAGATGGTCACTTTATGGATCTCAGTCTTAGCTTTCTCACCTCCAAAATAGAATTAACTAGTTCAGTGGTGGATTATGTCAATTAATTAAATTAGACATCATATGATTCAGCATTGTGTTGGCATTCACTTGGTCCTCAATAAATGAATAAATCTATCTTTCCCTTAATGCCTTGTAAAAGCCTGCTTCCAGATTCAATTAGAAAACTATTCCAAGACTCTGGAACAATGTGTGTGTGTGTGTGTGTGTCTGCACTGCTGATAATATTTGAAAATCAGAATGGCTTATTAGAGTATCAGAGATGGTTTTATATCTAACTTTTTGAGAAACCATTGAATTATTGAATTTTTTTATTTGATATGCCAGTGAATTTGATGTGCAACTGTGCCAACATTTACAAATGATTTATTTGGAAGAAGATCTGTGAACACTTAGAAAGGAAAAAGTGATCCCTAGAAGGTGGTACCAATTCCCGAAGAACAGATCATCTTGAGTTAGGCTAACCTCTTTCAATTTGTTTTTGTTTGTTTTTGATAGACTTTTTAGACTGGCAAATCAGAATAATTCATAGACCTGGTATGTCTTGATTTCAGCAGTACATTGTTTGGTGGTCTTAGATAGTGATCCTGTGGATAAAAAGGAAAATGTGGCACATGAATAAATAGATTTGTAATTGGTTAAAAACTGCCCTAGTGCATTAATAAAATATATTTGGGTTAACTTGGCAGATTATTGCTTAGTTGAATGTCATAAAGTGCTGACCTTAGAACCATTGTATTCAACAGTAATCAGGCTTAGATTAAGAGAGCAAAGACATACTAATCAATTTCACAGATAATATACAATTTTAAGGATGTATATATTTTATGTAAATTTTATTGCTATAAAAGTACATATTCTTTAAAGACAATTAAATCTAAGCAAAAGAAAAATGCACAAATCAAAGTACAAAAATATAAGACTATATTTTAACATATTATTTTATTGCAGATTTAATTCATAGCCAGTTCAAATAGATGTGGTGTATTAAAACCTTTCTCCATAAGATAATGTTGATAAGTTGGGTGTTATTCCTTCTGATATCTTTTTTGGAAAATCTGAGAATCATTTTACATACAGCTTTTCTGCATTTAGGTTCTTACTGTCAGTTTAACTCTTGATTGGTTGAATTGTGCTTTCACTAGATATTTCAACAAAAGGACATAGATATTTTATTTTCTAAACTCCTACATTTCTGAAGATTTGTTTCATTTCTGGTTCTCTACATATGAAGAATAACTTGACTGGTAGAATTCAAGTTTATATTCTCTACCATGTAAGACTTCACAAGAGAGAAATGACCTGAGTTATTTTTCTTCCTTTGAATGTGTCCTTCCTCCTCCTTTTAAAAATAATATTCCTACAGGATTTTTTGACAGGTTTTTGTTAGCATGGGTACCAGTAATATTTGTTTCTTTCCATTGGTTTTCCTTGGAATGTGGTGGCTTCTTTCAATTGCCATGCTATCTTTTGGTTTTTGTTGTATTTGAGGATTTTTTTCCAATTATAGCTTTGTTTAATAATATTTACTATAGTTGTTTGCATGTATATCAGCAACTTCTGAATGTTTTTGAGGGTGGTGCTGTGTTCTCTAGCCTCTATAACTATAGACCTTTTATTATTGCTTTTTTTTTTTCCATTTCTTTGTTATTTTATTCTGGATTCAGAGCTAGTTTTTGAAATGTGTCCTTCTTACAATTTATCCTGTTTTCTCTACTTTCCATGTGGATTCATTTGAGCAATTTCAATTTTTCCCTTGCAATTCATTCTATTAACCATTCCCATTTACATCTTATCTTGTTGACTTTTTGTTCCTGGCTCTTTCCTTATTAGCCTATCTGTACCAGTTCCAAAATGCTTATAAAGAAATGGCACATTTGCTATTCTACAAAGTTGTAATTTTTTGAATGATGGTGTGATATTTTATCATTTTTATGATTATTGTATTAGGAAGTTGGGAGAGTTGTGCGTGCTCGACGGAGACATTTTAAACTGAAAAGCCTGGGATGGTTAATATGTTGACTGATAGAATCAAAATTCTAAATGATATCAACGGGGTGGAACAAAGTGCTAAAACCAAGAGGATAAATGAAACCTGACAAGCTGCCTGAAAATAATCAGCCACTTAAGTACAGGACAGGGGATGTGTATTTCCAGGCTTACACATCCTGCTCCCTGCTTAGCCCATTCTCTGTGGTTCCTGAGCAGTGTCACCCACTCCGAAGGCTTCAATTACCACCAAATGCTGAAGGTGTGACATGTGGGGTCCTGGTCCAGGCCAGATACATAGGCTCAACTTGTTCAACACTGAGCTCATTAGCGCGACCCTAAACCATTCTACCAACATTATTCATTAGTGGAAGAGCACCACCATCCACCTGGCCACTCATTCACCCTTAACCCCAGCCTGTCCTTGTTTCCCACAGGACATCGTTTGCCATCTAGAGATGCAGAATGCCTCATAAATATGCCTCAAAGTCTCCTCTTTGTTTCATTTTTGAAGCAGGTGTTCACACACCTAGATAGCTTCCTTCCTGCTTTGGGGGGTGTTTAAATCTATCCATTTCTAGGTCATGTGTGATGGCCCGTGCCTGTAATTCAAGCACTTTGGGAGGCTGGGGCATGTGGGTCACTTGAGGCCAAGAGTCCAAGGCTGCAGTGAGCTGTGATTGTGCCACTGCACTCCAGCCGTGTCTCTTTTTAAAAAATTCACCCAATACCTTCTGAGTATCTTTTTAATGACTAATCAAGTTATTTCCCAGCAGCCCCTTTTCTCCCCAAGAGAAAGTCTGTTGTGATCTCCTGTGAGAAGTCCAAGCTGCTGCAGTAGACACCAAAGGCAATGATGTGACAGCCTTGCCTGCCTTCACGGCTTCCCCCTTCCCAGTCCTTCTCACTCACCTGATGTTTCAATCACAAGTTGTCTCCTTTCTGTGCTTTTGCATTTGTTGTTTTACTTTTCTATCCTGGAATACTTTACTCACTTCATCTTCCTGGAAAACTTGAATTTTCCATTCAATAACCTGTGCTCCCTCCTCTGTGAATCTGTTTTGACTTAATAGACTGAACAATCCTATTTTCCTGGGATTTCCCAGCACTATTCTCATACCAGCAATCACAGCCAACTCCCTCATTTGAAATCATATACTGTATTCCCCACACTTTTAAACACAGTCATTTCACTCTCAGTGAACCAGTTATTTTCAGGTTAGCCCCTCTCCCCCAAAACACACATTCAGTTCCTCAATTTGTTTGTTTGTTTTTTGAAATTTCATATTTCCTCCAGGTGAAAGCCTGCTCTTCCTTAAATTGTTCTTGAACTTTTCCCACTTCGTTTGTGTTCTTTTTAAAATCCCTCGTCTCATACTCTCTGTTTCTGCCATGTTGTACTTTATTGCCTTAAATATTTTGTAATATAATTATTGTACTATTTTTTCTTTTTTTTTGGTATTTGAGACAGAGTCTTGCTCTGTCACCCAGGCTGGAGTACAGTGACGCCATCTTAGCTCATTGCAGCCTCAATCTCCTGGGCTCCAGCAACCCTCCTGCCTCAGCCTCCCAAAGTGCTGTGATGACAGGCATGATCCACCGTGCCTGGTCCTGGTTACATTATTTTTTTGCAAATATTTTTATTCTTACCATACAAATTCAAATTTTAAAAAATAACAATTACTAACATGTTTCCCTCTCTCCAAGTAATTAATATTTTCAGTTTGGAGAAAACCATTTCAGGTGTCTGGCTCTGCCTATTTTTGGATGGATAGAGAGAGGTAATCTAGAGAATAAAATAGTGTCATCTTATAAACCTGTTCTTAATAAAATCATTACTTTTTTTTTTACTTGACTTTGAGGAACAATGAATAGAAGTAAAACTAAAGATATTGCTGAAGTTTGAATATTTTTTATTACAAGAAATATTGGTTCCTAAATTATCCTAAGTTATTCTGTACTTATAAAGTCACATCTGAAAAACTGAAGAAGTTGCAGTACTTTCAACTATCGGGTTCAAGTATTTTAATCTCCACTGTGGAAGATAAGATTATTATACACATAAACAAGTAGCTTCCTATTTCCCTAAGTATTACTTTCCATTTTTTGTTTGGTGTTATATTTATGTTACAAAAATTATGAATGTATATTTCTTCTTTGTAACCATAATCATCCAGAGTTGATAAATATTAGGTCCTATGTGTAAACAGATTCAGTGCTTGTTCAATACCTGTATTTTTTATCATAGTTCACATCTCATTAACTATCTTTGTATGTTTTGTAGAAAACACTTTAATGTGAAAAAAATTAAAAGTAATATAACAAACAAAAATATATATAATATGCATCTGTAAATAAAATATAGGATTATTTTAAATATTTTATCTCTTAATTTCTTAATATCTTTGATATTTTAGATCAGAAATATATTTAATATATGTATCATCTTACTTTTAATATCTTCAGAATGTGTATAAGTAGTATTGAACTGTATCTAATTTACAAATAGTAGGAAATCTTCTATGTATTGCCTTTTAAAATCAACATTTGGTACATATAGGACTAGTCCATTTATTTAGATACCATATAGTAAAGTTTATTTTAACTATACAACCATATCATGTTTATCTATTCACCACTGGCATTTGGATTGTTTCAATATTTTGCCAGTATGCCAATATTGACAGTGCTACAGTGTGCATTCCTATACATGTCTTGTGAACAACACATGGATGTGTTCTTTGTAATGCATACCTTGAAATAGAATCACTGGCTCAAGTATGCATTCAAGTTTACTTTTTGTGCTGTAAAGTCCATGGACTTTGACAATCTCCACTGATTTCCAGTATCTCTTCAATCACATAAGCAGGCTGTGTATGTAACTGAGACTCCTTCTGGGCATTCTTTTCTCCTCCAGTGATCTATTTGTTTTTCCCTGTGCACTATAATACTTTTGTGCTTGTCACACTTATCTTTTTTATTTTTTCCAGAACTTCCTTGAAGCATTATTCTTTTATATGTATTGAAAATCAGCTTCTTATATTTCACATAAACAAGATCAAAATAGACTTGGGGATAATTGGCACCTTTATGCGATGGGTTTTTCTATTCATGAACATAGTATATCTATCTTTCCATTTAGTTTTTTTTTCTTTAGTTACTTTTATATTGTTTTTCAATAAAGGTCTTGCACATTTTTATTAAATACATCACTATGTATCATAACATCTGTATTGTTAATATGAATAGTATATTTATTTCTGCTACATTTTCTATACACTATATTGCTATCCTATCAGAAAATTACTGCTTTCCTTCAGCACAGTGTCATCTTTGTCATAAATAAAGTATGTAGGCATGTTTCTAGAATTACTATTTCTCTCCCTTTGGTCTGTCTATCTCTGTAAAATACCAAACTGTTTTAATTTATTTAACTTCCTAGTAAATCTATGTAACTATTATATCCACGTCTCCAACCTAGTTTGTCTCTAAGAGTATTTTGGTTACTCTTGGATCTTTTCATTTCCATATATGTTTTTGGATCAGTGTTTTAAGTTTTACCAAAAATTACCATAGATAGTTTCATTATATTGAATTTACAGATTGACTTGGAAATAAATTACATCATTATAATACTGAGTTTTCTGACCCATGTAATTGGTAGTCTATTTATTGAAGCATTCTTTTTCTCAATTTAACTTATCTCATGTTTTTACTGTAAAGATATAGACACCTTGTGTTAGATTTATTACAAGGCATTTGACATTTTCATGATATCTTGTAAATTTTACTTTATGTTTTACATTTATATAGCTGGTGTATGGAAAAACAATTGATTTTGTGTATTGATTTTAAATCCAGTTACTTTTCTGAATAGGCTTATTAATTTTAATAACTTAACTATAAATTCTCCTGGAATTTCTGTGTGCACAGTCATATCATTTGCGAAAATCATGATCTTGTTACAATCTTTAGCATTTTATCCCCCTTTTAATGAAAGAAATAATACCTCCAGTACAATGTTGAATAAAAGCTATCATGGGTGCTGTAGACTGAATTACATCTCTCCCCAAAACTCATCTGATGAAGCCCTAACCCCTAGTGTGGTAAATATCTGGAGACAGAGTCTTTAGGAAGTAATTGAGATTAAATGAGGTCATATGGCTGGAGCCCTAATGCAAAATGACTGTGGCCTTGTAAGAAGAGAAAGAGATTTCTCTCATGTGGGATACAGTGAAGATATGGCAGTCTGCAAGCCAAAAGTGAACCTTCACCAGAACCCCACCAGGCTAGCACCCTGATCTTGGACTTCCAGCCTCCAGAACTGTGAGAAAATAAATTGCAGTTATTTAAGCCACCCAGTCTATGATATTGTATTATGGCAGCCTGAGCTAAATAGTATGGTGGACTTATGCATTTTGTTTCTTCTCTCAAAGGAAAAGCTTTTAGTATTTTGCCATTTAGGATGATGTTTAATATGTTTTACAGATATCCATTACTAAGTTAAGAAATTCTTTCATTTCTATGAAGCTAAGAGGATTTTCTTTCCCTTAAGATGAATATTACATTTTATAAAATGCTTTTTCTATATCTGTGAAGATGATTATAGTTTTTTCTACTTTAATATATGAATATAACAAATTACATAGATAGTTCTAATTTTAAACCAACTTTGCATTTCTGAAAGAAACTCAGGTTACAATTGCTATATTAATTTTCTTAATATTTTGTTTAGGGTTTTTATCTCTATATTTACAAGCAAGTTTGGCTGGTAGTTTTTCATTCTTTTATCACCTTTATCAGATTTTGTTATGAAAGTTATGATAGTGGTATACATTGTTTTAGGGGCATGTATATTTGTCAAGTTAGTCTAAGCTATTTTGTGGTAACAATTAAATGCCAAAATATCTTAACACAATTAATTCTGACTTGCTTCATAGTCCATTATAGTTTAGGTTGCCCCCTTGGCATAAAAATGACTAAGATATTCAGAATCTGCACATATTGTGAGGCTCCCATATTAAATGGATGGTTTCTGAAGTTTCCACGTAAAGGGAAATAACACTTTATGGCCTGTTCTGGAATTTTTATACATAATTTTTGCCCATATTTTATTAATTTGCATCTAGTCACATGGCTGTAATCTAACTGCCAGAAAGGTTGTGGAATGTAGTGTTCCTTTGTGCCCAGCGAGAGAAAATAGATGAGCAGTTAGACACTCTTTATCACAGGGAAAACCTTCATTGTCTATTATTATCTGTAAGAGTGTGTTGAAGACTGGAAATATTTCATTCTTAAATAATTGGTAGAACACTACAGTGAAGCTATCTGGGCCAAAAGTTTTCAATGTAGAAAGGTTTCAAAATATGGATTTAGTTTTTCTTAATAGTTATAGGAATATTTAAGTTTTCTATTTTATTCTCAGGTCAGATTTTACCAGAGTTCTTCAATGCAGTTCATGGCCAGTGAGCATGAAAAGCTAAAGTTACAAGGATTTCATGGCAATTTTCTTTACAACTGCTGCTTTTAATGAGGAAAGGAGAAAAACAGTTTGCTTCAAAGTTGACTTCATGACCTTTGTATGTCCCACAGTGCCATGTTTCAGCTCACCAGTCCTCAAGGCATTGCCTATGTCCCATGCCAAATCTAAGAGCTCTAAAACAGTATTGTGAAGATTCATTTCTATTTTCTTTTTCAGAGCACTATTTTAAAAATTTCCACTCTTAAGGCATAGAGATCTCGTCAATTGTTTTGGCATATTGTCACTGAGAGAGACATGGAGTTCTCCCTATTCACTTTGACACTCACACATTCCTCAAACCACCTGTAAGAGATAATCATCTTCATTTTTGTCCAGTGAAATTTTATGTTTCTATTTTTTTTCTCTGCATGCCTATAACAAGCCTCTAGAACTTGCTAGAAAGTGAGGTCTCTCTTGGTGAGTAAGTTTCAGACAGACAGAGAAGGAAGCTCTGTTATAATTTCTGTGTATCTGAGAGTGATGGTAAGCTGAGTGCGAGGGCTACTGGCCCAGGCTGTCACCATGGGAATTGGGTATCACTTAAGTACTGATTGAAAAACAAAAACAACAACAACAAAAGTAGAAATGTAGGATGTTCTTCACATCCTTGGAAAGTGAAAACTGACCACAAATGAAAGGCTTCCTAGCCATGTGCCATCTTCCCTGGGGAGGGATGCCAGAAGGCGAATCTTCTTGCACATCTAAAGAGGATTCTCACAACAGGCAGGCTTGTGATTCTTTCCAAGCAGCTACATTCCAGGAGCTTGGCTGCACATCAGATACAGGGACTCAATCTGCCCAAGGCTGTGTTGCTGAGGCCACACAGGCAGGCCTGTGGAAGGCCTTGGCCTCCATTGGAGAAGGGTGTCTGAGGCCTCCATCTCCTCTCCACACCCTAGTTGGAAATTACAGCTGTTAGCTTATTTTTCCACCTACCAAAGATGTTTGTCTGTGTTTATAGGGAGGTGGAGAGAGTGGCAAAGTGAGTTGGCAATTTTTTGTGATCTGCAAGCAGTGATGTGCTGCTGGCTGGTGACAATTCAGTGACATCACATTGCTAGGGTAAAGTTGTCTATGGTGGGAGTAATGACACCACAGAAATCAGGGCTTTTTATTCATTTATGTATTTACCTATTTTTGGAGGGCCTGTTGTTGAACAGGCATATGGTCTATGACCAGGTCTATGGTCTACTAATCATAGACCATAATTGCTGCACACTGCACTAGACTCTATAGTAAGTGTCTTACAAACAAATCTCATATCATCTTCCCAACTCTCTGGAATGTGGGGATTGCATTTTTTTCCATTTCACTGAAGGAAACAGAGGATCTAGGAAATGAAGAGACTTCTCACTGTTATATGACAGCTCTTGGAAGATCTGGTCTTGGGACTTATCTCTATACCCTTCTCATATCAGCGTGTTGCCTTTTCCTTCCATCTGCAAGGCCTTCCCTGGGACCCTTGTCCCTTGCTGCAGAGAAGCCAGCTGGTTCTGAGAAGGCATGTCTGTCTTTCTTGTTCTTATTATCCAGGATCTGTTGCTGTCTGCTGCTTGCCCCACCCAGTGAACACTCCAAGACATGAGGGGTGGGACAGGTGCTCTCTCAGTGTTTGCTGGTGCATGTGCTGTGCCGGGGAAGAAACTGAGTGCACATGTTGGGTGAATTGCCTGAGGTACCCCAGCATTGGTTCAACTCTGGTTGAGCATCCACTCTGCACAGACACTGCGCTGAGCATGTCTGGGGAGGGCAGGCCATATACTGTGGTCCTTGCAAAAGACCCTCCATCGGGCAGCTTGCTGTTTAATATGGGAAGTGAGAGAGATGCGGAAATGCCAGCAGAACAACCTGGAGTGATGTGTCAGGTGCGTGGGCTGAAGGTGGTGTGGAGGGAATAATTACCCTCAGCTGCGGTGGCAGAAAGGGGCTGGGCTGTGAAGAAGGTGCAAGATTTAGAAAGTGACAGTGCATGGAGCATTCCAGGTTAAGAGGCAGTGCATGTGGGGTAAACCTGGGTGGGGACCCACAGTGAACTCTGGGGAAGCCTCGGGTCGTGGGAAAGAAGAGAAGATGTGGAGACTGTCAGACAAAGGTCTGAGCTCCAGCCTTGAGAATTAATAAACTTTGGGCAACCTAACTTTTCCAAACCTATTTCTTTTCTTTGTTATTTTTCTAGAAACAAATGAAGAATACTAATATCTGCTTCATAGGTGTTGTTTGAATTAGAAAAAAATAGATAATACATTTTAAAATGTTGGTGCAATGTTGGACATGAAAAAGGTGCCAGAGAACCCGATTCAGAGTTCCTTTGCTCTTTTCCTGGGTTTAGATTAGGTGGAGAACAGGGCTCATGGGGGGAGCCAACTTGAACATGAGATTGGGCCACATCATGGAGGGCCTGCAATACGAGATTAGGGATTTCTTTCTTTTTTAAATTTTACTTTTATAGATTGAGAGAGTACAAGTGCAGTTTTGATGCATGGATATATTGCGTAGTGACGAAGTCTGGGTTTTTAGTGTAGTCATCACCCAAATAGAATACATAGTACCCATAAGGTAATTTCTCCTCCCTCAGCCCCGTGCCACCCTTCTGAGTCTCCAGTGTCTGGTATTCTACTTTCTATGCCCATGTGTACACACTATTTAGCTCTCACTTGTAAGTGAGAGCATGTGGTATTTGGCTTTCTATTTCTGAGTTATTCCGCTTAGGATAATGACCTCCAGTTCCATCCACATTGCTGCAAAAGTGATTTTATTATTTTTTATGGCTGAGTAGTAGTTCCTGGTGTATATGTACCACATTTTCTTTATCTGGTCAAAGATAATGCCCGTGTTGATGGGCATTTAGATTGGTTCCGTATCTTTGCTATTGTGAGTAGTACTGTGATAAACATGAGCATGAGTGCACATATCTTTTTGATATAATGACTTCTTTTCCTTTGGTAGATACCCAGTAGTGGGATTGCTAGATCAAGTGGTAGTCTTATTTTTAGTTCTTTGAGAAATCTCCATTCTGTTTTCCATAGGGCTTGTGCTAATTTACATCCCACCAATGATGTATACGCGTTCCCTTTTCTCTGCATCCTTACCAGCATCTGCTATTTTTTAGGTCAGGGATTTCTATGCTGAATGGCAGATGGATGAGAGTTTCCATCAGGAGTTGGCCATGATCATGTGGCACTTTGGGAAGATGAGCTGCGTGAATAGGCTGGAGAAGGAAGCTGTAGACTCCTGGGCTAGGGAAGGAGTGAGGGTGTAGTCGCCAGGGGCAGCTGGAATGGAGGAAGGAAATACAGCAGAGGGTTACTGGTGGAGTTGGACACTGGTGGGAGGTGACCTGGAAAGAGGAGGAGGGCAAAGGGTGTTAAGCTGGGCCCTTCTGGGTCTGCCTGCAGCCTCATTCTGCACCTCCTGCCACTGCACACACACTTATTCTGTACTCATGTTTACCCTTCAGTATTTTGCAGGAACTCCAGGGCTTCCTTGGAATGGCTGGAGGAAGCCTTGGGCATCAAAAGCAGGAGCAGGTTGTTAGTATAGGCCTGACGTGGGACTGTGCTGCATGCATAGGAGCCTGAGATGCCCTGCCCACGGCCTCAGGACTCTTTCCGTGACTGCCTGCACTCACTGGCCACCACCTCTCCCTAGGCCCATCATGGTCACTGCCTGCATAATTCTATCATGCTGCATCTTGCAGGGGGTGGGGCTGCCTCAGGGCAGGCGCTGGAGTGTGTTAATATCCCCCCACTGACTGTTACAGATGGTTTGTCATGGGTCCTGATGTTGGTTTTTAAATACTTTCTGCCTTGGTTTTATCACTAGCTTCTTGTTGCTTCTTCTCAGCTAGCAGGATGGTATTTTCTCTGGAAACATTCTTGCCTCATCCACTTCCATTCTCCTGCCAGTAAGACATTTAGTCTAACAGACCAGGGCTCCCTACCTCCATATCCTATATTCTGCATCCTTGTTCCTTCTGCCTGGAAAACCCTAGTCCTCTGCTTCTCCAGGGCATTGATATCTGTATCTGTCCTGCAAGTGTCAATTCAATTGTTCCCTCCTCCAGCAGGCCTCCCCAGATCCATTTAGGTTGGGTTGAGGAACAGCTGGAAATGTGCTCCTGTTGGTCGGGGAAAAGTCAGGGCTGCTAAACTCAGAGCCTTCAAAGTCTGCTGCAAAAATATGCATTCTTCATTGTGGGAGTTAGTGAATTCCTACTGGATATACTGTAGACTGAGAAATCAGGAGGGCTCAGACAAAGCCTTCGACAGGAGTCATATTTTAGGTATGGCAGAGGAAGATGAGAGAGATCCATGGTTTGGGAGCTTGGTCAGAAGCCTGGGAGCTGAGATGCTGTGCTATTCCAATGAGTAGGTATTTCAAGGATGTGTCTGTCTGGGGTTGATAAGCAGAATTCCCTGGAGGCTTCTGAAACTCTGCCTCCCACCACCACTGAGAATTACTGCCATGGTAGTTATGGCAGAAGAATGTTCTATCCCTAGATGTGATGGGGCATGTGAAGCTAGAAAGAGTACTGGATTAAATGACAAATTAAATCATCAGTGTTGTTTGAGAGTCTGTTTTATGTCAGGTGTAGATTACCTATAATAATGCATGTTAAGCAGCAGCGTGGGACTTGGCTGAGTTTAGTTCCCTCTCCTTTATCCATTGAGAGAAAAATTTAGTTGCATGCTCAGGGTGCAATTTAAATTACAAGGAGTACAAACCAAAGTTGCAGAAGTGAGGGCATATTATTATTGAGAACTTTAATGGTGAGAGGAAGGGGAGAGAAGAGGATTGTAGAGGCGGTGGTGGCAGAGCTAAGGGAGGTGTCCAGGGAGATCTGGATGTTACAGTAATTATTTTAGGATGAGGTGGACCTTATCATGTCTTTAGACAGAGGGTAGCCAGAGGCAAGGTAAAGAAGGGCTGATGTATGGGGCAAAGTCTCTAAGGAGACTAGAGAAAATGAAAATAATGTTGAGACTCAAGTAGAGAAGAGATATGGTGCAGAGACCACATGAGGGGATGGGACCTCTCCCTGGGCCACCAACTACAGCAGCCAAGTTTTAGACCTCATCTTTGGGTATTGGACCTTGGGGAAGTCCACTCTTCCCAGTTAACAATTTCTGCTCCTAGGGCATGAGAAAGGGCTGAAGAGAACCACAGCCCAGAGCTAGAATTCTCTTTGAATGTGTCTTTGAAAGAGGCCGGTGGAGGAGAGATTAGGGAATTATGTCCAGCCTTTGGTCTTTTCCTTCAGGATATCAACAACAACAAAAAATCACTCCTCTGCTGAAGCATCCCAGTTGAGGTTTTCTCCTGGGGCACCTTGTCGAGCAGGAAGGTGATCATTCCCCTTTCCTCCCAGCAGAACCCTGACCTTCCTGCTCAACTGAGGCCTCAATTGAAATGCTTCTTAGGGAGCCAGGAAGGCCACCCCATGTCTTGCCTTAGCTTTGGCCAACTTAGAGTCTGAGGGTTGTTGGGGGCAGAATGCTGGTGGTGAAGAAATGAGATTCCTGCCTTTTTAGTGCCAAGTCACTAAAGAATGAGATACAGCATCCTGCCTGTACATGTGCCAGTTAAATCCCTTCTTCTGTAGACACAGGTGCTTTCTTGGTGTCTGGGGCGTTTCTGGCACCATGTCTGTCCCTAGTGTCTCAAGATACACTCTATGAACTCACTTCCCTTTAATCTCACCAGGCTACAAAATGGAGCGTGTCTCTCTTCACCTCCCCCCATTGTGCATGCTTTTCTCACTTCCGTGAATATTCTTAGAGGTTATTTTCCTTCAACACTCCTCTTTTCACTCACTGCTCAGCTCATAAACACTACTTCGTAGGGGAGACTCCGGTCAAACTTACGACTCCATTCTCTCCAGGGAAGGTCCCATCTAACTACAATTCCAGAAAAGTATTGAGAGTACAACCTTGGTGGGCTGAAAATCATGTAGACTTGGGTATTCATCTGATGTAGGTTTGTATCTTCTCAGCTTTGTTTCCCCTGGCTTTTAGATAGAAATATCAATCCCTTCTTCACAACGCTGTTGAAAAGGTTAATAGAGACAACTATATGAATGTATCTAGCACATGATAGGTGCTCCATTGAAGTTACTGTTTCTCTTTCCTTTCTCTCTTCTCAATTCCCCATATTGATGCATCCAGGAACTAAGTGAGCTCTGATCCCTACTCCCCCTCAACTGAATCACAAGGATGCCTCATGCCTGTCCCTTTTCCCACTGCTTGCTGGCCACTGTGTGCCAGGCATGCTGGCTGGGTGTGCATTATTGGCCTGCCAGCAGCCCTCATACCCAGACCCTGGTCTTAATTAAAACTTACCTACCTGAGTCCCACTTTATCTCTTATCCTGTTGAATAGTTTGGCCCTTGAGATTTTGTTTTAGAAATAGATTCCAGGCTTAACACTAAGGAGGCTCTGGCTGTTTTGGGGATCAGTTTGCCCCATTTTGAGTTTATCAGAGGAGCTCTGTCACACATTCCCAAATCATCAAGAGAGTTTAGAATCTTCAGTCCAAATACAGGGGCTGAAAAATTAATTTCTCAGCTCATCTGCAAACAGCAGCCACTGTAGGGTCAGGTTTTCTCTTAAGGCCTTATTTATTTTATTACTACCCCAAACATAAAAATGATGGTTCTGCTAGCTCTGCCTGCCATTAACTAATGGCAAACCCAGTGACTAATTGTGCTTAAATCTGGTAAGCAAGTGAAATTAATTGTCCTTGCAGAGACTGGTCCCTGAGGACTTAGAGGAGAACAGAAATGTTGACGTGCAAATAACCAAGCATGTGAAAATATGGAGCTTTATCAATCAAGTCAGACCTCCAGGATTTATTGGGTGCTTCCAAGGTGCTCAGTGCTGTGCCTCATTGCTTTCTGCAACTTGAAAGTCCATGGCTTCCCAGCTTCCCTTTGCTGTTCTAGGGCTAGGGCAGGCTCATTGGAAGCTGCGTCTCCATTGTGGTGTGTTTGACTGCGAAGCTTTCTTGCCTGTAGTTGGGATTCCTACAAACAGAACTTAAGCTGAGGACTCTAGCACAAATGGTTTCTTGGGTGGAGGGGGAACCTCAGGAGAAGCAGAATGAGGGAAATAGAGTGAGGCAGGGAAAACGTGCTAAGCAAGAATATGGTATCAGGTGGAAACTAGCTCCAGCCTGATCCCGCAAGAACTCTGGATTCCAAGTGGCCCCACAGATTTGATCCCACCCTGAGGCAAAGAGGCTGCCTTTGACATTCCCATGTGAGTCAGTTGCTGGCTGTGGGCTGCGGAAGAGATAAGATGGGGGTCATCTCCAGGGGAGGCAGGTCCCTCCATGGAGGGCAGTGTCCTTGCCCCATTAGCTGCTGGCACTCACAGAAGGAACAGGCTCAACCTTCCAAAAAAGATTCGAGGTGAAACACTAAAAGTATCCACTACAGGTCTGGTTGACCTCCCTTCCATAAGAAGAAACTCAAGATATATCCATGTTCTTTGCTGCCATGAAAATCTCCTTGCTGGAGGTGATCCCTGTGGCATTGCACAGCCTTTTTAGCGAAAACCACTTGGTCACACAGGCAGGACAGGAGGCAGAATTTGCCAAAGGCCTTGGGGATTCTGACCCCAGGGCCTGACTGAATCTTCAGTTTCCAATTACATCTTCACATGCAGGTCCCAGCCCTCACAAAATGCATGGAACACCCAAAGCAACATGGACACCACCCCTGCCCTATGACTTTGCCTAATCTGTCAAAAAGCAAACCTGTCCTTCTCATGAACACCTGAAGCTGATGCCTCCAATTTAGTCTATGTGGGTTAATGTCACACCAGGCTGCATGGCAATTTTATACCAGGGGTCCTGCTGGACATTGAAAGAACATTATTCTTCTCTCTGAAGTTTGAATGTTGAATTCATTGTGTTTATGATCTCCCTCTGTTTGAGAGAGATAAAGATGGGAAGAAAGGTACGAGCTCATTTTCCACCACATGAACACATTTTAAGTAGCTTGCTTTGTCATTTTCTCAGATACCTCCCTTAAGGAACTTGAGGCATAGTCTGAAGGACTGAATCAATGAATTCCCCAAGTGATACACGTAAGATGTCTGTCATTCCTGAAAGCAGCCTTTCTCACCAGGAGTCATCCTGGATCCCTGTGGTAGGTTCAAGCTCCTCCTGCATTATTTTGCCCCAGGCTGAGATCTTCATTGTCCTTTAGCCTAGGAGGATCTGGAATAGCTGGTGGGTGGAGGGAAAAGAAAGGAGAGGAGAAGGGCACTGCCATTCTAGACTTATCATGCAGAGTTCATTGCTAGCCCTAATGTGCCTCATCAATCCCTCCTGGCTGCATAGCTCACGTGTGTGCAGCTCCAGAGCAGACAGCATCACTAGGTATCTTCTAGACCCTCCAAGAGTATGAATAATTTCTTAAAACTTTCCCTGGGAATAGGTTTCTTTTTTTCTGGGCAATTTTCCTAAGAGGAAATGTTTTCCTAAGAGGAAATGACACAAACCAGCAGCATTGAACCTGATGGACGGTCTCTTATCTTCTCCAAAACAGCTGTGAAGCTATTGATAGTGCACTGAACGTGAACCCAGAAATGAGCCCTAAAAAATAATTTCCAATAAACTCCAATGGAATATATGAGCAGTTTAAGCAGAACGATACTCTAAATTTCTGAGCTTCATGCCCAGAGTTTGTCCTACATATGTCTCCTCCTGAGATAAAGGACATAGTGAGTCTTTGGTTATAATTTGCATTAATAATGATTGAGCTTCTCATTAGCATACACTGGGCATGTCAGTGTCAGGTAATCCATTTGACTCTGCTATGGATGGATTTATGCTGCACACCAAAAAAAAAAAAAACCTGCAATTTTCACTCTTAACTTCTCTTGTACTAAGTTGTGTGACAGAAAGAACAGGTGATATGGCACCACAAAATATTAACTATGTGATCTTGAATAACCCTTAACCTCTCAGAGCCTCCAGATCCTCATCTTTCAAATGAGGATAGTTAATTGCAGTTGATTTCATAGGATAGTCATCTTGATCAATCAATGTAATCTATATGATGATCCCTGGAATATTCTAAAATGTCACAAAAGATATAATATAAGCTTTTCTAATCCATTAATCTCTCAAATAAGACTGTTGTAATTTTTCTGTCTTGAACTTTGAGATGTGCAGTGGGGTATGTTGAAGCTGTTCTTATTCATCGGATTTCTTCTTAACACACATTTCTTGGGCACCCGTTCTGAGGGGGGCTTTCTATGGGACATCTAGAACCAAATGGAGAAAGAGGCAGGCTTTGTTCCCTAGGCGAACACAGGGGGAGAACATATGAGCCCACAGCTTTGTAACTCTTGGGCAAGTCACAGCACACAAGCCAAAGAAGAAGCCCAGAGAGAAAAGCAAGCTTACCCATCCCGTTGGAAATATGGATAGAAGGAAACACAAAGGACATTGCATCTGAACTGGCCACATCTAAACCTACTATGTCAAGTAGAGAAAGGTGGAAAAAGTGAAAGACCAGCAAACTCATTTTAACCTAAGGTTAAAAAAATGGATCCATTAATTAAGAAGAGTGATCTGAGAGGAATTTGCTCAAGTCCAGATCATCTTAATAAAGTGAATATTGCAATAAACTGGTCCCATCTAAACCTGCTATGTCAGGTAGAGAAAGGTGGAAAAAGTGAAAGATGAGCAAACTCATTTTAACCTAAGGTTAAAAAAATGGATCTATTAATCGAGAAGAGTGATCTGAGAGGAATTTGTTCAAGTCCAGATCATCTCAATAAAGTGAATATTGCAATAAATAAAGTCGCAGGAATTTTTTGGTTTTCCAGTGCATATAAAAGTTATGTTTATATTATACTGTAGTCTATTAAGTATTCAATAGCATTATGTCTAAAAAATATACATACTTTAATTTTAAAGTACCTTATGCTCAAAAGTACTAACCCCCACCTGAGCCTTCAGTGAGTTGTAATCTTTTTGCTGGTGGAGGGTTTGCCTCAAAGTTGATGTCTCCTGACTGATCAGAGTGGTATTGCTAAAGGTAGGAGTGGCTGTGGCAGTTTCTTAAAATGAGACAACAGTGAAACTTGCCACATCAATTGACTCTTCTTTTCATGAAAGAATTCTCTGTAGCATGTGATGTTGTTTGGTACCATTTTACTCACAGTAGAACTTCTGTGAACGTTGGAGTCACACTTCTCAAACCTTGCCACTTCTTCATCAACTATATGTATGGAATATTCTAAACCTTTTGTTGTCATTTCAACAATGTTCATAGTATTTTCACCAGGAGTATATTCTATCTCAAGAAGCCACTTTCTTTGCTCATCTGTAAGAAACAAATGTTCACCCATTTAAGTTCGATCATGACATTGCAGCAATTCAGTCTCATCTTCAGGCTCCCTTTCTAATTCTAGTTCTCTTGCTATTTCTACCACATATGCAGTTACTTCCTCCACTGAAGTCTTGAACCTCTCAAAGTCATCCATCAGGGTTGGAATCAATTTCTTGCCAACTCCTGTTTATGTTGATATTTTGACCTCCTCTCATGAATTACAAGTATTCTGAATGGCACCTAGAATGGTGAATCCTTTTCAGAAGGTTTCAATTTACTTTGCCCAGATCCATCAGAAGAATCACTATCTATGGCAGCTACAGCCTTATGAAGTGTATTTCTTAAATGATAAAACTTGAAAGTCAAAATTATACCTTGATCCATGGGCTGCAGAATGGATGTTGTAATAACAGGCATGAAGACAACATTAATCCCCTTGTACGTCTTCATCAGAGTTCTTGGGTAGCCAGGTGCTTGTCAATGAGCAATAATATTTTGAAAGGAATCTTTTTTTTTTTCCTGAGCAGTAGGTCTCAACAGTGGGCTTAAAATATTCAGTAAGCCATGCTGTAAACAGATGTGCTATCACACAGGCCTTGTTGTTCCATTTACAGAGCACAGAGGCCGGGCGTGGGGGCTCATGCCTGTTATCCCAGCACTTTGGGAGGCTGAGGTGGGCAGATCATGAGGTCAAGAGATCAAGACCATCCTGACCAACATGGTGAAACCCAATCTCAACTGAAAATACAAAACTTAGCTGGGCATGGTGGTGGGCACCTGTAGTCCCAGCTACTCAGGAGGCAGAGACAGGAGAATCGCTTGAACCCGGGAGGTGGAGGTTGCAGTGAGCCAAGATTGCACCACTGCACTCCGGCCTGGCCACAGAGGAAGACTCCATCCAAAAACAAAGCACAGAAATAGTAGATTGAACATAATTCTTAAGGGTCCTAGGCTTTTCAGAATGGTTGCTGAGCATTAGTTTCAACATAAAGTCATGAGCTGCACTAGTTTCTAACAAGAAATCAACCTGCTCTTCAAAGCTTTGAAGGTGTTTTCTTCCAATAGAAGGCCATTGCATCTACACTGAAAATTGGTTATTTGGTATAGCCACTTATATCAATGATCTTAGCTAGATCTTCTGGATGACTTGCTGCTCCATCAGCACTTGCTGCTTCACCTTGCACTGTTATGTTATGGAGACAGCTTCATTCCTTAAACCTCATGAACCAACCTCTGCTAGCTTCCAACTTTTTTTCCTACAGTTTCCTCACCTCTCTCAGCCTTCGTTAAAATTGAAGAGAGTTGGGGCATTGATCTGGATTAGGCTTTAGCTTAAGGGAATGTCCTGTTGATCTTCTATTCAGACCACTAAAACTTTCTCCATATCAGTAATAAGGCTCTTTTGCTTTCTTATAATTCATATGTTCACTGGAGTTTCACTTTTAGTTTTCTTCAAGAACTTTTCCTTTGCATTCACAACTTGGCTGACTGGCTAAGAGGCCTCTCTTGGCTTTCAACATCCCTTCCTCACTAAGTGTAATCATTTCTAGATTTTCATCAAGAATGAGAGATGTACAACTCTTCCTTTCACTCAATCAGGCCATTTTAAGATTATTAATCACCTAATTTCAATATTGTTGTGTGTTGGGGAATAGGGAGGCCTGAGGAGAGAGAGAGAGAGATGAGGGAACGGCTGGTCAGTGGAGCAGTCAGAACATACACAACATTTACTGATGAACTTCACCATCTTATAAGGGCAGTTTGTGGCCCCCAAAGAATCACAATAGTAACATCAAAAATCACTGATCATAGATCACTGTAACAGATATAATAATAATAATAGTAATAATTTTAAAAGTTTGAAATATTGTGAGAATTACCAAAATGTGATGGAGACATGAAGTGAGCACATGCTATTGGAAAATGGCACTGATAGACTTGCTTGACACAGGTTTGCCACAGGTCTTCAATTTGTAAGAAACACAATAACTGCAAAGTGCAGTAAAAGGTGGCAAGCCTGTGCTACCATAGTCAGATGACAGGGAAAGAAACTGAGCTGAGAGTGTCAGTAGAAATGAAAAGAAAGGAGGGTGTTGGCAGTAGAGTTCTGTTGACTTAACAAGGCAAAGGTAGGAAAAGAAAGGATTAAAGAGTACTAAGACTTTATATTTGGGGGATTGAGGGTGGCAGTGTCCTCATAGGACATAGGGAAGTCAGGAGGTGAGCTGGTTTTAGAAAAAGAGGATTGCCTGATGGCATTCTCAGAGCAGGAGATTTCTGTTTTGGCATCCTGGAGGCGCTTATCTCAGCCCTATGCAAGTAAGAAGGCCAGAGGTTAAGGGAGGAGTGGCAAACCATCTATGACTGGATGCACATAGGCAAAGCAGAGGGAAGAGAATTTGCAATAAGCAATGAAAATGAAGAGGTGAACCATGGTCAAGCATTGTCAAGTTGGGCATGTAGGTCAGGGCAGTTTCCAGAGGTGGTGGTCTGTGTAGTCTAGTGACCCACCCAGCAAGATGGAGGACCCTGTGGGCTGAAGGGTGGGAACAGAAGCCAGTTGGCCACGAGCAGGAGATGAAGATGGAGGGCCTGAGATGAGGGGGCTTCAAGCAACTCGCAGTTTCTTCTCCCCCTTGCAGTCATCCTCAATTTTGTCTTTATAGACAAAAGAGACTGTGCCTTCATGTTTGTTTGGGTCTAGGTGCCATTTTAAACTTCTGATATCATTTCTGACCCTTTTTCTGAGGTATCTTTCTTCCCTGGTCTCCTTTTCTTGAAAAGCAGTGTTCCTTCAGCTAATTATTCAAGATAGAAATACAGTGGGCTTGTTTAAAAAGCCCATTGAAATCCCATTCAGGGGGCAGGCAGAATCCTCACTGCTCTGTTTCTAATGCAAGTCTCAGCATTGGTGCCCATTTCAGAGCATTTTGGTCTTTGAATCGTCTACACAACATCATTTTCCAAGTGGATTCCTAGTAGCTCTGTTTTCTGAAGATGGAAAAAGATGGGTGAAAGAAAGTTGAAAGTTTTCTTTAAAGGGCTTTTCAGTCTTTCCTGTGTTATTATGAACCATAAGTCTCCAAGAAGGGCTGTCGTGTCCAGCATTTCCCAGATGTATTTATTAATGAACTATTTTTGAAAAATCATAAATATGTATTTCTGAATAAAAAAGTCAAGAAAGACAATTCAATAAACTAACTAGAAAAACATATTTGTACCACATTTTTAAAGAAAACAAAATACCTTGTTATGATGCAGGTGTGTCAGTGTTCCTCACTGTAAGCCAAAACACAGCAGAATATGATGCTGCATGAAAAGCAGAATCAAGCCAGAGCAGTCTACTTTCCCTAAGCTCCATTCACTGATTGCTGATACTTCAGGCTCAGATGTTAAACAGTAAACTTGGTTGAAAGAGCTTCCATTTTAGTAATCTAAGTTACTGCATGGAATTAAAATATTAAAGGTGGCTTCCAGTTGGAGCAGGACACAGAAGGGGGCCTCAGGATAAGATCCGTCTGGGGATGGGAGCTAGCAGTCCTTCCCTAGACAGCCTGATCTAAGGATGGGCCAAATCAGGACCTACAGAGCAGGGCAAGTCATGAGAAGCGGGGCTGGGAGTCAAACGAGATTCAAGAGGAAGTCATGGATGAAAAATGGGTCCGGAGCCAGGGTGAGGGTGTGGGTATGGAGGAGGAAGCCAGGGGCTTCAGAAAGTGTGAACTCCACTCTCTGTAGACGTATTTTGCTTCTAATTTTCCCAGCCAACTTGTCCACATTTGAAATCATCTGCCTTTTATGCCCATCCTCATGACCCCAAAGGGGCCCTTGGAGCCCTCTCAGATTCCCAGTTCACTCCTCTGTGATATAATATTGACTTCCCCATAGGTGGTGATTATGAAGAGATGCTCTCTGTAAAGTGCTCTACACATTGCCTGGCTCATGGGGGCCCCTCAATAAATAGGAAACTCCCATCATCCTCCACCCCTACTTACTTAACCCACTGCCCATTTGGAGTGGGCTTGGTGGAATCAACAGAGAAGACGGTGCCCTGCATTTGGGTAATGGTTATGAAATAGCCGTTGGACATGGAAGACAAGTCAGGCCTGGTTTGGGCCACATGCTTACTCAGGCCTAGAATGGGGAACCCTGTGATTAGCCCATGTGTCATCCTCTGGTGGAACCAAGGGGATTTCTAACTTGGATAATGTTTTTCAAACACCTGGCTTTGCCAGTGCAAGTCCACAGTGGTTGCCAATGTGTCCTGCAGGTCACTTTTTTTCTCTCTGTCTTCCTGTGATCTGGACCCCTTGAGCACACTCCATTGTCCTGACTTAGAGGACTCACAGGAAGGATCATGAGCTGTTGAGAACACAGCAACCAATGTGACTTTTTGATGTGCAGCGTAGAGCCTGAATATTGGTGACCTGCCTTTAGAAGCAGTGTCTTACTGCCATTGCTGAACTGTGAGATAAATTCTTCCTTTAAGCAATGGCAGGTTTTCTAGCAGTCCCTCAGGCATTGTGCAAAGTCCACTGAGTGTGGGCAGAGTCCTGGCAGACTCATTAGCTGTGTGTCCTTGGAAAGTGACTGCTTTCTGGGTCTCATTTTTTAGGTCTATAAAATGAAGGGATTTTATAAGAAGATTTCTAAACTTGCCTCCCACTCTGACAGTTTGTGAGCTTATTGACAACTTAGTTCAAACTCTCACCTTAAACAGTAGCGTCTAAAGAACATCTCAGAAGTGGCTTCTCTTGGCTCCACACACTAAGAAAAGCAGGACAAATTTGATTTGGAGTCAAGAATAGGCACATTTTCCTGCTTCCACTTCAGAGCTCCACACAGAGAGGACACACATCAGCCCACAGATGCCCACAAGGGTAGCCAACCACACATATACACACAAACACACACAGAGTCAGAGGCACATGCTCCGTTGCTCACATATGGAATGAATCTGACTGTTGTCTATGTGCATTTCTTTCTTTTACTCTGGTTTTTGTTTTTGGCCAGGAAGGGCCAGGTTGAGACTGCATTTCCTTCCCTGGGATCCCTCTCCGAGCCTCCCTGTGGAAGCATCCCCAGTCTCCTGTGTCTGACAGGCTGTGGAATGCACGTGCCAATGCCCTCACATGGCTAATGCACCTTATCTCATAATAACAACAGCCACAGTACACAGCAGGTTAGCCGGGGATTTTCCTCTGACAAAGGGGAGAACTCAGCAGGTGAGATGGTATGTGATTCTGCATGGCTGGCCTTTGCCTAGGGCTTAGGGATGGGGAATGGTGGGTGCCCTCCAGGGAGAGCACTGGCTCAGCATGAATCCATAGAAATGGAGGGCAAGGGGAGCTGTCATTTCCTGCAGAGCGGGGAAGCCTAGTCAGACAGCTGGGAACAGAATACTACTAGACCAGTTATCAGGGTTTAAAGCAATGATATACACGAACAGGCTGGACTCATCCACTCATTCACTCACAAAGTTTTTCTTGACCACCTACCATGTGCTAGGGGCTGTGCTCAGTTCTGGGGGCACACTGGGGAAGAAGCCAGACCTGTTGCATGTCTTCATGAACTTAAAGTGCAGGAGCACGGTTAGGAGTCCATGTGCAGGAGCCAGACAGCCTGTGCTCACATGCTGGATCCGATATTGAATGGACATGTGACTTTGGGCAAGCTAATTAACCTTCTGGGCTCCAGATTCCTCCTCTGTAGACTGAGAATAATAATAGGGACAACCTAAAAGGGTTTTTCTGTAAATACTGATAACACTGCCCTACACAGAGTAAGAACTCACTAATAATCTTCTATTGTTTGTGTTTATTCTTTTTTTTTAAAACAGCCTACTAGGGGAGTAGGCTAACAAATAAAAGACATTGTTCGTCTCTCTCTCTCTCTCTCTCTCTCTCTCTCTGTGTGTGTGTGATTTTAGAAAGAGTTGCTACATATCAGAATGCCTGCCTCTACCTGAAAGTCCCAGAGGATGCGGGGGAAATTTTTCCCAGGAAGAAGAGCAGATAAAGAATAGACGGGCTTCCCATGTGCTAGATGTGGGTGCAGATTTACACTGGAGACAGTCACGTCAATCACATAACCGCAGAGAGCGAGGTCTTCACTACTTTGCTGTTATCAGTGATCCTGGGTTCTCTTCTGTGTGTCTGCTCCTCTCTGCCTCTGCTTAGTTCCCTCTCTTTACAGCCTAATGAATGTTCTCTGCATTTCCTAAACTAGGGCAGTAGCACTGATGTTGGAGGAGTAGGGAGATCTGCGAAATATTGTGGGGCTCAACTCGGTCAGGCCTGTTGGAATATGACAGGTGGGAGAAAGGCCAGAGTGAGGGGCAAGGCAGCCCAGGTGTTAGTGCGAGACCTGGGTGGATGGGGACACCTGCACCTGATGTGAGCTGTATGGGGGAGGAGCCAGCTTGGGTAGGCAGAACAAGGTCCAGTTGAGACTACGTAAGTGTTAGATGCCCATAGATGTCCAGGTGGAGATGCCCAACAGGTAATGATGACAGTGGGGAAGCTCGGGATGAGTTGAAGTCACGTCCCCTGTAGTAACCGAAATCAGTCACAAAGTACAGTTGGCTCTTGAAACTGGTTTATTGACTACAGTGAAGTTCACCTAAATAAAAGTGTAAAATGAGCACCTCTAAAATCATCCCCCATCCCCTCATGCCTTACAAGCCAACCTCAACTAAATCTCTTACTTCTCCACCCAAGGTTGCAGGTACCTGCCCCCGCTGGGGAGAGGCATCAAAGTCCCAGTGCACCCTCTGCCAGTGGGAGGGATGGCAGCAAGAAATGGCCCTTTCAAAGGACATGCTGACCCTGGAGGGAGGTCCCTATCCACACCCTCCAGGAGAACTGTTCTAGAGCTGGCCCCTGAGAAACATCTGTTCATTTCACCCTGTTCTTTCATGCTTTCTGTTTCAGCAGATCAGTGTAGGGGTGTGGTTTTAGTCAAACCTGGTTTTCAATACTGGCTGAGACATTGACTAACCATGCTGGGCCTCAGTGTCCTTGCCTATAAAATGGCACCACTCTATCTCTGTCAGTATAGTCTGGAAATTTAGTGCATAATAAATATTCATTTCATATTAGCTCCCTCCAGACCATATCAGAGGACGTTTACAAAAGTGGTGGTGTAGTTCTTTACAAACCAGGTAGAAAAATCACATATTTGCTCTTTGTCTAGTTTCTTTCTTTGGGTTTAGGAGACATTTGCCAGAATAAGTGCCTTGACCTCCAGGGGTGAGCTGTGCAAGCTGTGCACACTCCTCTCCACCCTCGCCTTGGTGGAATTATGCTGATCTTGCCTGGCAACGTGCCTCCCTTCCCGAGACAGCTTGGAGATGCATATTTATGTATTTCCAGTCATCACCCCAAGAGCTCAGATTTTCCTGTCCTTGGTGTCACTTTAATTAATACACTCCCGTGTGCTGGGTGACAAAATTAGGTTGCAGGGGTGGCAGGCGTTTATATCACGAAGGGAGAGAAAAAAGGTGTTTTGCACCATTTTCCTTCTTAAGCTCTGTTATTAATCTTTGCAATCAATACTCCTTTATTTTTGGCTCCAGAAGATGGTGGGGTGGAATTAGACTGTCAAGCAATTTAAGACCACATCTGCATAAGTAATAGAGATGGTATGTTCCTTTTGCTCTAGGTGAAAACATGTGTCCCTGGCCAGATGTGGCAGGGCCAGACTCTGTGAGTCTCATGCCAGCTTTATGATATGTTTGATTTAGGTAAAGTGCCTGGAACCTGCTGGGACTAAGTTGTTATTAAACACCATCTGCAGTTTTCAGTTTAATTAATATAATAAGAATTAGGATCCCATGCTTTAATTATCATGTTAACCCTTTAGGATCATGGGAAGAAGGAGGGAAACATGGGAGGGTGGACCAGGGTAGCTCTTTAGAGGACTTTGGATCTGTAGGTTGACGCCCTTCATCCTGAACCCCACAGCTGTAAACATGTGTGGTGGGCTAGTCACTGCCCAGGTGTGACCCTGGGGCTGTTGGGGTTTGCTTGTGTGGAAAGGAAACTGGAATATATTTGTCCAATAGAGAAGGAGTCTACTTAAATATCAGTCACACCTGGTTCCCCAACCCTGTAAGGGAAATTACCTTAACAACAACAGTAGCACTAATAATAATAGTTCTAATAATGACGTATCATTTATTGAGGAATTACTTGCATTTTAATATACAGTGTATACTGTATAATCTGTGTGTGAATATATACTGTGTTATACAATATATTCTGTACTAGAAACTGCCTAAGTGCTTTCCACAAATTACATCATTTAATTTTTACCACATTAAGTTCTGATTGCTTATGAGGAAACTGAGGCAGAAAACAGTTAACATACCTAGTGTGAAGCAAAACTTGGATTCAAATGTAAGCTTATTTGAATCAAATCCAATGCTTGTCATTAACATACATCACTCAATAAAACATTCCTGTTGAAAAGTTGAAAGGAAAGACTTCAAGTAGAGAGGGGACCTATTGCGCCCTCCTGGATTTCATTTCCTTTGTGCGAAATGAAACCTCAGATTCTAATATTGCTGCCACTGCCACTTCCAAGGTACCCATGCCTGTGGCTTCAAGCTCGGCTGTCAGTGAAGAGACTGAGCTCATTGCTTGTGTTCTCCAAGCACAGCTAATTTTGGCTGGTACGTTGACAATGCTTCCTCAAACCATGCAGGATAATAAGACATAAATACATTCAGACATTACAAAAGATAAAAAACTGGAAACAGAGATGGAAAAGTCTGAGATGTAAGGTTAGTCTTAAAGTAATTCTCTGATTCTAAGGGAAGAGCATTTTGAGGTAGGCACTGCTAGGCAGAAATCTTTGCTGCCCCTTACTGGCTACAGGACCACAGACAAGTCACCTATCTCATATGCCTGGGTTCCTCATTGGACAATAGAGATGCTCATACTTGCCCTTCATGGGTTTCATGAGGATTCTACCCAGAGCTTGGCACATAGTAGGCATTCTTTTAAAGCATGACTCTTCTTACTGGAGGCTCTCACATGTTGACTCTCAGACTAATTGCCCAAGGAGGTTATGATCCTCTGACTCCCAGTCAAAAGCTCCCTCCCGGGCCTCTCAGTGCCTTCATGTCATGCTCTGCTGCACATCAACATTGAGTGACTATTCCATATGGCAAGGTTCCCCTCAAGAAGCATGGCGCCAGGAATGAAATCATGCTGGAAAGGACACTGTGCCTTTTATACTCTGGGAGGTGTCTCTTTACAGGTTAATTGACTCATCTATTCATTTATTCATCCAGCAGGGAGTATAGAGCACATTCAATACCTGGATTGGGCTGGGCATTGGTGGAGTAACAGTGCTACAGTAACATTACCTTGTAACCAACATAATGACCATGTTGCAACAGTTGTCTATGACCAGAAATCATCCTATTCATTTATTCACTCATTTATTCTTACATTTCTATAATAAAGAGATCATTTGCTCCTGTCATGCACCTAACATTGTGTCAGGCTCTGGAGATAAAAAGTGGGTGAGAAAGCATGGTCTCCACCTTCATGGAGTGGCAGTTGGCAATTCAGAGGAGCAGGCAGAGAAGTGACTCAGTACAGCACAGCAAGACGAGTACCATGATTAGGGAAGTTTCTGTGATTGTCAGGGCACATGGGGGCTGTATTAGTTTCTTAGGGGTACTGTGAACAAAGTGTCACAAACTGAGTGGTTTAGACAACATTTATTGTCTCACAGTTCTGGAGGCTGAAAGTCTAAGATCAAAATGTGGGCAGAGCTGATTTCTTCTGAGGGCTGTGAGGGAGAATCTGTTCTCACCTCTCCCCCAGCGTTTGACAGTGGCTGGCAATTTTGGTGTTCTTTGGCTTGTAGATGCATTACCCTGCTCTCTGCCTTCATTTTACACATGGCATTCTGCCTGTGTAGGTATCTGTGTAGAAATTTCTCCTTTTTATAAGGACACTCGTGGTACTGGAGTAGGGCCACTCTAATGACCTCATTTAACTTGATGACCTCTGATAAGGACTCCCCAAGTGAGATCAAATTTATAGGTACTAGGGGTTAGGATGCCACATATTTACTTTGGGGGGATGCATTCCAACCCATCACAGGGGAAATGTCTTGAACAGAATTTTGAAGGTAGTGATGTGTTCCCCAAGATGTGGAATGTGAGGAGTTGTCCGCATGTTTAGGAAGGAGAACTGTTCCATGTGGCATACGAGAGGGACCAGAGGCAGGAGAGAGCACTGTGGGCTTGGGAAACAAAATCTTGCACAGGACAGAACATAAAGTATCGGAGCGGCTGCTGGAGGACTAAGTGGGACAAGTCCTTCGAGGCCTAAAGAGTCAGATCTGGAGGGGTCCCTTCATCCTGAGGAGAGTGGGGACCCATGAACGGCTTGTCCAGACAGCTTCATGGTCAGAATTCATCCCAACCTCACACAGAGAACCTTTTCATGGCGGCATGGTGGATATGGTGCTTCCTACGACACAGTGCAGCCCTCTTCTGGTAGGCCACATTACCCATTAGGCCCTGGCATCAGGAAAAATGTCATACAAGGCTCAGTTCAGGCATGGGGGAACATGGCTTCTTCCCTGGGAGAGGAGCCCTATGGTTTGGAAGGAGAAGGGAGCCTCTCTCCGGTTGGCATTGGCCTTGTGGGTGGGGAGGAGTATTACGGAGGGAGCTGGGGATCCAGTGTGCAGGGCGGAGGGAGGCAGGGTTCGGCTGAGATGGCTCCACCCACAGCCGCGTTGCTGGCCCAGCGGCTCCTTTCACTGCAGTCATGTGGTCCCTGAAGCCCCCTATCCTGGCGTTGGAGCCCTCTCCTACCTGGGGGTCTCCTCAAGCCAAGCACCCTCTGGTCCTTTTGCTTTTACTTTTCCAGCCTGTTTAGCCAAACCCATGAAGGAACATCAGAAATACCTGTACAGAGACCTGTAGGTATCCCTGTTTGTTGACCTGACTACTGTCTCTGGAATAGGAGAAAGGAGAGTAAAACACAGATGAGGCAGTGAGATGTGTGTCTTATACATCATTCATCCACTCAAACAAATCAGGATGCAACATCTGCTGAGTGACTCTTGGGATTTCAGTGCAAAGATTCAGGTACAGCCTGGTCCTGATGTGCCCGGCTCTGAATCCAGGAAACACAGGTGGCTGTGTTCCTCCTACCTGGCCTGGATGCCCTGTGAACATGGCAGAAGGAAACCATTCCAGGGAGAACCTTGTTTTTGGCAGACCTAGTAGTCTAGAGAGACAGCAGGCAAAGAGAGCACCATCTTGGAATAATACAGTCCTTTGAGGGTTCCCTTGGAATGCTCATTTCTCTTGAAGAATGGCAAGCAGCTTCCACCTAAAATTAATCATTGGCTTTTCCTGCTGGAAGTCTCTCTTCTCCCACGGAGGAAGACATTGGCTTTGCTTTGGGTTTGTGGCTAAATTTTGTGCATTACCTTTCATCCCGAGGCACTGTGGGGACATTATTATGTTGTTAAGAGTCAGAAAAGCCCATAGTGACCTGAGCTAGTGCCTTTGAAGGTGGTTGTTTTGCTTTGCCCCACTGGGTGCATTGTGGCTGTAGCCTTGGTGTGACTTGGGGACAAGCTCCCTGGGTCCCTGCTTCTGAGGAGGTGGCTGCCAGCACTCTGCAGAGGCAAAGCTCCTGGTGTCTGAGCACACTACATTTTAATCATTAGAGGTCTGTTCTCTGTGAGATCCTCCCTGTGGTAGCTCTGAGTCTCAACAGACACTGCAAAATGAGATTCTAGTTTTCAGAGAAAACAGCTGTGTTTCAGAGAAAAAAGTGCATGATGCTGCTTTTCTGGAAGAGAGAATCCTAAACAAAGTAAGTCTTATAGTTCCAGCCCAGGCCATAGAATCATGAAATATCACAGCAGGAAAAGGCCTGACGGATCATCTTGTCCAGCGGGTTTCTGTCACAGTGTTTACAGGGCTAAGCAGAGAATGTAAATGTCGGTCTAAGACCAGAGTGCTGAGACTGTGATGACCCAGAAATCACAGGCCCGGGCTAAAAAAAAAAAAAAATGCAGATTCAAAGCAGGCAAACAGGAGGCTAGCCAAACCAGCCACTTCTTGACTGGCCATGCAGGTTGGCAGTTTACAAGCACTGACGTAGCATCATTCTCTCATTTAATCATTGGAGAAACTGAAGCTCATAACGATAGCTAACACTTAATGGATGCTTCCCACAGACTGGCATTATGCTTAGTGCTCTGCTTGAATTCACTCAATCCATGAATATTCCTGTTGTGTAGATGAGAACACTGAAGCACAGAGAGGTTAGGTAGCTTATCCACGGCCACAGAGCTAGCAAGACGTAGAGTGATATTTGAAAGCACACTCTGACTCCATTGCCTAGGTTCTGAACTCCTTCCCTGCCCTGCCACTCCAGCATGAGTTCTCCTAAAAGCAAGGAAGTGCCATGTTCCCTGGGCAGGGTCCAGAATCCAGGCCCTGGACTCCTGGTGTGATAGCATCTGAACTGCACTGTGTTGCTTCCCTTGTTTCCTCTGCTTAAGAGGTTTGATGTTTAGAACCAGACTTCAGCCAGAACAGCCTGGCATACGTGATCAGCTCTGCTCATGATCCACTGTAGGGTCCTGCATAAATTGGTATGAGTCTCTAATTCTCTGGGGAATTCACCTTACCTCCCAGAGTCCTAAGAATTAGGACTGTTCTCCCAGGGCTGTCACAAGGATCCCATGAAAGAGGGACTGGCACCAGGTCTGGATATGTTTGGATATCCCCAGATGTTTGTGTCCATCTGTGTACTTTCCAACAACCTTTCCATGGTGGTGTATCTGGTGTTCTGTAGCGGGATGTTTTGCTCCCATTGGACAAACACTGTTGAATACTGGCAGAGTTATCCTGAGTGTCTTGCCTGAACCCTAAAAAGTCAATGGGATGAATAATTACCTCAAAGAACAAAAAACAGGACCATGCTCTATCCTGCCAGTATCCTGGTCCTAACTGGGGCATAGGTGGGCTCCCATTGATGCCCCCCAGGCATTGCAGGCACCTGCAGCAGATAGTCTCTGTCACTGGCCAGAGAGCATGCCAGGTGAAAGTTATGTGGCATGTGGAGCTCTTGGGGTGGTGTGGCTGGCACCTGGCATTGCTAATGGTGCCACAAGCGAAATGGTGTCCAAGATAAAAACAGCTGTAACCAAACATTCCATGGCATGGACATCATCCCTAATTGGAGCTGGTTTGGGAAGATAGCTCAGGCATCTTGGAGATCCAGGCCTGGAACAGCTTAGCATCAACAGCTCAACAAGCTCAACTTGGCTCTGGCATGGACCAGCTTCAAAAACTTCATAATTTCCTTATCCATAAGGTGGGAAGAATAGCTTATCACAGAGGGTGGTTCTGAGGATGAAATGCGCTAGCCCATGTAACAGCACATGGCACAGAGTAGGAATCCTCCCATTCTCTGAACTCAGACAAGACTCATCAATGATAGAGCACACCTTCTCCTCCCAATTCCCTTTCCTAAACTTCCCATCAGAGTCTATATCCTTGCTAATGTGATTTTTCTGCAAACTGATTCAGAACGGCTAGCATCTTATAGCTTCACATTTAATTACAGCTGGTTTTGCATTGTTCAATCACTGGCCCATGTGTGCTAGTATTTTCCCTCCAGCTGTCCCACAAGGGAAGAGCCTCAGTCTGTTTTCTTGCACCATGAGTGCTGACTGCTCAGATCCACAAACAAACTCAGGCAGGCAGATGTCTTGTGTGCTGTGATTCCTTCACCAGCTGCTTTGGTTGGGTTCTCAGCCACATGAGTCCACCTCCTTTGGGGTCCCCATCCAACCACTGAGGAACTCACAACCACTCCTCTATTTTAAAGTTAGTCATAGCAAATGGCATACCCTCATCCAATTGTCCTGGCCCTCCAGCAGCACTCTCCTCCATCTTTCCTCTCTTCTTCCTGCCCTGGGGCCCTTGAGTATACACTCTTACATGAACACACCCAGGCCGGAACAGGTGTGCACATTTATGCATGCACACACATGTGCAAGCACATGGATTCATAGCTGCTTCTCAGCTCTGCATTCTAAAATATGTGTGACATACTTTCTGCAGTGGCTTCCTTAACTGTCCACAGTATAGAATGTCTCCACCCACTCAGCTCACACATTCTCCAGCCCCATAATTGTCTAGGGAACATCGATAGCTTATCATTTTTCCATTATCTTTGCACTTCCACAAAAACTCAGTTATAACAATCCTCTAAGTATTTTATGGACAATTGTCCTGCAATCCTATTCTTAGTGCTTAGTAATATACCATTTCTGCTGTCTCCTAGTAAACTGTTATTAGCTACCAGAAGATTTCTCTTTCTCACACACATCCGTGATTTAAACAATGCAATGTTATCTTTGCCCAGAACATTTTTTTATTTCTCTCTTCTATATGTCCATTTCCTGTTTCTCCTTAAGCCTCAGCCTCAGCCTCACCCTTCCCATGAACCCTCCCTCTTTGCCCACAGTCCCAGTTCCTTGTCTGCTAAGCTGGGACAGGTTCAACTTCATGTTCCCATGACTCTGTGCTTCATTCTAGCACCGTGTTTTGCATGATGTTTCTAATGATCCATGTGCCTGTTCGCCCTCCTCACTTAGCTATGAGCTACTTAATATCACCATAGGATGATACTAATATGGACAGGTTTTTGTATCAAGCAGTCCTGAGTATGAAGACAGCTCTTGTACTTGCTGCTTCTGTGACCTTCCATAAATTCCTTAATCTCCTGAAGCCTTGATTTTTTAATCTGTAAAATGAGGGGGGTAGAAATAATAACTTTATGAAGGGGCTATTGCCAGGGTTCAATGAAGCAGTATAAAGCAAGTGTTAGCAGAGGGTCTGGAAGTTAGTCTCATTGTATCTTTCTTCTGGTATATCAAGTGACTGCTGGAGAAGCTGACACACTAGAGGGTTCAGACAGACATTTGAAAGGAAGGAGAAGAGGGAAGGAAAGATGGTGAAAACTAATATTAGCAGGGAGAGAAGAGACTCAGGCTGTTTGTCTGGAGCACAGGATGACACAGGCTGTGCCAGAAGGGGAAGAAGGCACCTTCACAGCCTCCCGAAGGGCTGCTGCCCTGATTTGCATTTCAGACACATTTGTGACAGCCTCATAATTGATTAAGAGCCCCAGCACTGATATATTAAAGGTTAATGGTGCATCCTGCTTTTGTCTTGATTTGTGGCAGCAAATATTTGCGGGTGTTGAGAGCTGAGAGCTAGCCATGTTCTTGGCATGCAGGTCCTGCTGGCTGGCAGGACTCCCATGGAATGGCAGGCACACAGGAGCCAGGGGAGCAGAAAACGGCTGTATCCCAGGAGAATTCTCCCAATTGGTGGATGCTGATTTCCACTGCACCCACAAAGAACCTGGATCATGAAGTTTCAGCACCCTGAGGATGGAGCCCAAAGAACTAGATCTGATTCCCAGACTCCTTGGCAATCTGTTCCTGGGCAGCCTGGACCCACGTAGCTTTGTGCTGTGCCTCCTGGCTCAGGGCCACAGTTCTTTGGTTCAAGCACCTCAAACTATTACTAGGCCTGCTTCTCTGCAGATGATTGACTCACAGTTGTCCTGAAGGGAGACTAGTCAACCCAAGATGAAGACTTTTCCAACAGAATATCAAATCTAGATATTTTTAAAGGCCAACTCATTCATATATGATTCATACATATAACCTATGTTCATTAGAGTGTCTACCATGAGCTGGTCACTATTGTAGGTAGGGGTCATATTATCACAATTTGGCTAGAACTTATCTGGAGTACTGAAAGTCCTGCATCCAGGAAATCTCTAGTTCCCAAGCAAACTGGGGTGATTGGTCACTCAAGTTGTAGGCACTGGTGATACAGCAAAAAAACAAACAGCCAAGTCCTATTCTGGGAGGGGAACTAACATTAAGCAGCCATATATGTCAAGTTGTGATTTTTTTTTGTATTTTTATCATATAATGTAAGGGGTGCTGTGTTTTGTAAAAGATTGTCAGCAAAGGCGTCCTGGAGAAGGTAACATTTGATTCGACCTAGACACTGAAAGAGTGAGCCAATTACAAATCTGAGGGAAGAGTAAACCAGGATAAGGTTAAGAAACAACCACAGAAACCCCAAGGTGGGAGGGCAGGGAGGCTGGTACGGCGAGAGCAGATGTATTGGGGTCCAGATAACATAGGACCTTTCAGGCCATGTGAGGACTTTGGATGCACACTTTGACTTTGGAGTCAAGAAGTCATTGGAGGGCTTTGAATGATGAGGTGACATGATCTGGCACAGATTTTTAAAGGATCACTCTGCTTGGCCTTCCTAGGGAATAGCTGTAGGGGTTAAAGGTGGAAGCAAGGAGATTCTTAGAGAGACTATCTCAATGTCCAGATAAGATGCAGAGTGAAGGTCATGATAAGTGATCTGATTCTAGATGTATCTTGATAGAAGAGATAGGAAATGCTGAAATTTGTATGTGCGATACATAAGAAAGAGAAGGGTCAGTAGTGATTTCAAGGCTCTTGGCTACAGCATCTCAAAGAATAGAGCAGTGTTTGATTGACATGGGAGAACTAGAGGAAGAGCAGGCATGGTTTAGGGGTTAGTGATTTAAGAGCTCAAGTTTGAGCATGTTTAGTGTGAAGATCTATTAGCCATCCAAATGAAGTGGTCAGACGGGTGATTGCCAGGAGTGGATGAGGTAGGTCAGGGCTGGTGTGTCCCACTACAGTCATCAATGTATAGATGCATCTACAGACAACTGACATGATGAGATTGTGGCAAAAGTCCTGCAACCCAGGGATCAGTGGTCTGACCCCTGGAAGATTCCAAAATTCAGAGTCTGAGAACAGAAAGAAGAATTAGGAAATGGATAAGGAGGTCCTCCAAGGTGGGAGGAGGACTGAGCAAGAGTGATTTCTGGAAGCCAAATGAAGGAAGGGCATCTAGGAGAGTGCTACCTGTCAAATGCTACTGGTTGGAGGGATGTGAAGACTGAGAATTGGCCACTGTATTTGGGAGATCATTAATGACCTTGATGAAAGTTGTTTCAGATCAGCAGAGGGATGAAAACTGGAGTAAGCCAGGTTCCTGAGAAACGGGAAGAGGGTAATGGAGGCAGTAATCATAGATAACTCTCCGGAAGAAGAGCTGGAAGGGTGGTTGGAGGAGGATGTCATCTCACAGGACTTTTTTTTTTTTTGAGAGAGAGAAGATGTATGTATGTATTTTCAAGCCAATGGAAATGATCTGCAGAGAGAAATAATTTCATGGTGAGGAAGGTAGAGGTGACAACTGGAAGAGCAATGTACTTTGAGAAGGCAAGAATGTCTGGGATCTAGGAGACAAACAGAGTTAGACATGCATAGGAGTAAAAACAAAGCTGTCATTTTAAAAGGATGGAAGGCAACTATTCACTAGTTTTCGAGAAGGGAGTTCTCTAGAAAAGCAAAGTTCTCCACTGATGGCTTCTCCCTTCTTAGGAAAAAAGAAGCAGCCTCATTGTCTGAGAGTCATCTGAGAGCGTGGGAGGAGGAAGTGCACAGGGAGATTTAGAAGATCTCAAGCAGCTTTAAGGGTCTCCTGGAGGCTAGTGGTCATGATTCTAAAGTTAGAATCACCATGCTGGTGTTTAGCTTGGATCTTCTCCCAGCCATATTCAGCCATTCAGTTCTAAACACAAAATTGTTTTGAAACAGAGTTCATTCTTCCAGAAAACATGAACTCAGCTCCTAATGTCTGTCAGACTGTATGTGGGGTGATAGAAATTCAGAGATGGACACAGAGTCCATTCCCTGGGGGAGCTCAAGGTTGAGGTGGGCAGACAGCACAGGAAGCTTAAAAGGGAAAACATTAGGATAGGACCAAGCCCAGAACACACAGGGACTTGGATCCAGTGGGCATGGATCCACTCTTTCAATACGACATGACAGCTGAGCTGATTCCTTCAGGGTGGGTAGGTTTTAGTCAGGGCACAGCAGAGAAGGCAGGCAATGAACCTGAGTGAAGACTTGGAGGCCTGAGTGTGCAAGAGGTCTTCCAGGCTGGCACACCAAAAGCAGGGTAGCCAAGAAGAGCTGGAGGAGGCAGCACTGAAGCACTGAAGGCTCTACACTAAGCCTCCTTTGCTGGGGGAAATAGAAGCCCCAGAACTAACCTAGTGAATAGTGTGGACATTGAGCTCCTGACTTGGCTTAGCACCTGGCCCACAGTTATTTGACCTCATCAGGATGATTTTCACAGCTCCTATTACTGAGCTCTACTTACATACAGGATCTAGGCTGAGTTTGGCAAATCAGAAACACATATAACATATGCCTATGTTTAGGAATTCACAGTCTGATTTGGGACCAGGGCACCAGGCCTGGGTTGAATCCAGGCAGAAGGTGCAGAAGTGAGGAAACTCCAGCCTGCCTTGGTGTGGGAGCCTCAGTACTGATGGGCCCTGAGTGCCTGGGATGGCCTCGGACCACTTTGAATTAGTCTCACATGTTTGTCTTGCTGTAGGGACTGAAGATACAACTATCACAGCCTCCTCATGGCTGGTGGACAGGGTGTTTGATAGGGCTGGTAGAGAGACCTCCTGCCTCTCAATGGATCTTGGCTGATGGGAGGCTAACCCAGGAGGAAGGGTGGACATAGAGGATAGAAGAGAGCACAGAGCTCAGTTCCCAAGGCCCAGAACTGATGCTTGGGCAGCAGCAGGATATTTAAAATCGTTCAGATCACATTTTTTATTTATAACGTAATAAAAATGCAAATTTTACAAAAATGTGTTTGTAAGAAGTGGAAGTCTTGCAGGCATTCACTGCTTATCCCTTTTACTTTTGTTTTTATATTTATTTACATTTATTAATTGTTACTTTTTACAAGTATGTAAATATATACAAATGCTTTGAGTTTTTAGCAGTTTATTTTGGGTGTCTTTTAATTTCAATAGCAATTGAAGAAGTGGGATTTGGAGAGAAAACGCCATGGAGGGAAGGAAGGTGAGGAGGGAGGACACCTCAGCTGGCCCTCCGAGGCTGGCTTTCAGGCATAGGTTTGAAGAAGGGCTCTGTGACCTATGGAAGCGTGCATTTTCCTGCTGTGGGCTCTGCAACCCTCACCCTGTGGGTCACTAAGTGTCCTCATACAGTGTTTGGATCTGCAGTCCCTCTGCTCACTACTCAGAATCACACCGACTAGGCTTTGGATACAAAGGAGAACTGTTTTCTTAGTCTTTTTTTTCTTGCTTATAACAGAATACCTTAAACTGGGTAGTTTATTTTTTTTAAAAAGGGCATTTATTTCTTACAGTTCTGGAGGCTGAGAAGTCCAAGGTCTAGCAGCTGCATTTGGTGTGCACCTTCTCCCTTCAGTGTCATGTGGTGGTGCAGCGCATCACACGGACGGGGGCCCAAGCCTACTCGCATCCCAGCTAAAGCCTCTCTTCTTCTCCTTATAAAAATACCATCTCCCCTCCCATGATGACTGATTAGTCCATGATTGGGTTAATCCATTCATCAAGACAGAGTCTTCATGATCCAATCACCTTTTAAAGGTCCCACCTCTCAATACTGCCACATTGGGTATTAAGTTTCAATATGAGTTTTGGCGGAGACAGTATTCTAACCACAGCTCCTGTGTACACCCCAGCATCCCCTTTCCTAGGCTTCCTGGAAGGTCCCCAGGTAAATGTTGCAAGGTAGGAGAGGCTCATAAGCTGGCTCCTTGGCCACCCTGTCTCAGCTCCTTGGCAGGACAGCCCCAGCAGGCCTCAGCCCCATCCTCTGCGAGTTCATTCCTCTCTGCTCCTCTTAGTCCAGTGCGAGGACATACTAGAGAAACACATGCCCTAGATGTCAACTCCAATGGCTCAAAATCCACCCTGGCTACTTTATGTAATCAATGCCTCCATCATTTTGGCTCACCCTTGCTCTGCTTTATTAATCTTCATAGCATTTTTCATCACTTGTTACATAGCAGCAGGGGTCAGCTGACGATGCCCCACAGGCCTTCAGAGGGCCTGCAGCCTGCTTTGTCACAGCCTGCAAGTCAAGACTGCTTTTCCTTTTTAAAAACATTTTAAAGCGTTGGAAAACAAAACAAAAACAAAAGCAAAGAATATGTGACTGAGTCTTGTGTGGCCCTCAGAGACCACATAGGCACTATCTGTCCCTTTCCAGAAAGTTTGCTGACCCTGGCATTACCTAGTTATTGTATTGTTGCTGTTGTCATTGATGTTTGTTTCTTTGTCTCATCTCAACTATGTAAAATCCACAAAAGTAGGAACTTTGTGCCATTCTTGCCCTATCCCCAGACATAGAGCACTGTCTAATGCAGACAGATGCACAGGAAATAGGGTTTTTTGAATGACGAGTGAATGAAAGAAGGAAGACACCTAGGAAGCCTTCCCCTGCATGGGTGACAGATTAGAGAGGCTGGGGGGCGCTGGGGAAGAAACCCAGGAGAGGCTTATCAGTGTGCAGCAGGGTGGGTCATGGTGCCCTCTGGAAGCCAGTTGTGGAGCCCTATCCAGGCACTCCAGATTGCTTTGATGATTGCAGCATCATCTCTTGTAGAGCCAAACATGAGATAGAAAATCAAGACTGCTGGAATGATAGTAAAGGCATCTGTAGGCTGTAGCTATGAAAGTTTCAAGTCACCAGGATGGATATCCCCACCCTCCCGTGTCTTTTGAGCCACTCCACCACATTCTCTTCTCCTTAAGGAAGAATAATAGGACTTCCAGATCCACATGTATCAGGCCCATGCTTATGACATCCCCACCGTTGTTGAAATCCGTTTTACGTATACTGAATATTGATTCTGCTCTTGTTACAAGTGTTTATCTCCATTGCCAATGTAAATATTTTTGTAACATGCAAAGATGTATTTATAAATTCTGTATTATTGATTTTTCTCATACTGCAAACACATTTATCTCTTTGTTAATGAACATATATCTAGGAAATAGTAAGATTGATTTACGGAGAAAGGTGTGGGGAGGACAGGAGGTGGTACCAAGCTGGGGAGAATATCCTCGGCCACAGCTGAAGGATGCATGGTGGGTCTTCCCTAGAGGTGCATGTTTAATTAGAGGACAGTGTTCTCAGAGGCAAGGGATGCTTACAAAGTCCTTTTGCAAGACAATCTGATGTGCTCAAAGGTATCAGCTATGCTTTCAGCATGTGGAAATTTCAAAAATCGGTAATCCAGGTCAGGAGATACAGAGAAACAGCTTGCATTGGTCCCAAATCCACTTTTGGTAGGACACACTTGAGTAGAAGATATTGGTTTAAACGTAAGATTGGAGGAGAGGGTAGGCTTTGTCAGGGGAGGATTCCAACACAAAATATTATCAAAAGTTGAAGTAAGAAGATAGGCAGCAAACAGAAGTGAGGCTCAAGTGATACACATGCTTGCACCATGACATTTCATGAGCCAGTGCAGACTCTGGCAGGCAGCCTGGGGCTGATGCTTTTGAGGCCGTTCTTCCTGAGCAGTTCCTTGCCTAGGAGTTCATTACTTTCCCAGGGTAGCCTCTGCTAGGCTGTTACTATGACGACCCACAAAGCAAAAGTCCAGATTGCCTGCCAGAGGAGTTTTGGTGTCTCTATGCTCATCCTGGGTTCAGACTTCTGCAAGTCATCCTTTTAGGTATCCTGAGTGCCTAAAGTGTGTTGTTGACAAGGCAGTAGACTGGGGGCTGATGGGGGAGCATTTGCATGTACCTTGGCAGCAAGATGGAAACAAGATGGGCCATAGGCTTCTCACTGGGGAGACAGATGGGCAGTTGAGGAGATAGGCTCCAATCACATGAGCCTGGAAGCTTAGACATGCGGCTTGCCCATGCTTGCTTCCATCTGGGTGTGACTACTCTGGCCTGTTACCCATGACTCCTTCACATGAGCACAGTGTTCCAACCATTTGAACTACTGATAAGCAGTCTACTAGAAGGGCTAGCATTTATTAAACATTAACTGTGTACCAGGTATATGTCTGTGATCATTAATCTTCAACAACCCTGTGAGTTGGGTATGAGTTATGAAATCTAAGGCTTCAGAGATTATAGAACTTGCCCCAGTCCATGGTTCTGGAGCTTGCATGCATCAGAATCACCTGGAGGGTTGTGGAAACATAGACTGCTGAGCACCACCTTCAGAGTTTCTGACTCAGTATGTCTGGAGTGGGGCCCAAGGATTTGCATTTCTCATAAGGCCCCAGGTGCTACTGACACTGCAGCTCTGAGGATCACACTTTGAGAGCTACTGGTCTATGTCAAACAGTGAAGGCATTCAAAGCAGCATCCACACCCAGGACTGTCAAATTCCATCACCTACATATTTTTGGCTGATGTGAATTGCTCCCTGGTATGTGTCCAGAATAAGCCATGTGTTTTCATTACCCAAATGCCTTCTCAGGTAATATCTTCTCTTCCAGGAACATTCTACCCCTTGGTTCTCCATCTCGCTGCCTCTACTCACCCTTTCTGACTCAGCTTAATGTTCCCTCTTCTAGGAAGCATTTCTTTAGCTCCTACCCATGGGTTAGCTACTTCTCTGTGCTTCTGGGATCCCCCATACAGACCTGTATTTTAATATATCTCATATTGTTTGGTCACTGTTGCTTTACTTCTCTGATCACTCGCCCCTTGATGATGCCTGCCATGTATTCCTTGCTTGGTGTGCACTGTGCCTTACCTAGTAGACATTCAGGAACTGTTGGTGAAATAACTGGTTGAATGACATCAGCAAGTTGCATCGTGCATGTGAGGTTAATAGAGACCACACCTGTGATAGGCACGTCTCCTTCATCTCTCTGTGGTGGGGGTACCTGGACACTTTGTAGCAGTTGTTGCTGAAGAGACTGACTTCAGAAAAGTTCTAAATTGAGTGTGCTGATAACACAGCCTCCTCCTGGTGAAGCCTCCCTCACTTGCTAGAATGGGCGTCCTATCTGACTTCAACATCTGTCTTCCACTGACTACCACTGTTGGCTTGGCAGTCTGGATGCCTGGCTGTCCCCATTCTCCTTTATTCCTCCCTGTGTGTCCCCTCCAAAACTGGGTGCTGTGACAAGAGGATGACTTCCTCAGGGAGATGATGGCTTTGGTGGATGAATAGTTGGGCCCTTGTGTTCAACACCCCAGATAGCCTTCCATAAGTTTATTCACCCTGGAATAAGATGGTAGTGCCCCCTGTGCTGGGCATTAGTGAGCCTGGAAACCTTTGTTGAAAGATCGAGTGCATGTCTGAGATGGGAGAGATTCCTCTGCACAAATTTGTGGCTATTAGAGGTGATGGATGGATGAAAGCTGTGGCCGTGGGTCTGAGCAGTAAGATTCAAAGAAGATGGGGGTGGCATTTTGGGGTGGGAACAGTGAGGTCTACTAAAACAGAAATGAACATGAAGCCATAAACATTTGGGCTGCCTGCTTGTTAACCAGAGACGTTCCCTGAGCCTCTGGCCGTGGGCGCCTTAATGAATAATACCAAGTGGAGAGAGAAAATCTCCATTTCAAATGTGGGGATGAAACAGTGTTTGGAGATCCCTGGCAGTTACCCATTCATTCCACACTCATGAAAACTGCAGCAATTTAGAGCAGCTCAGTATTTAGACTCAACTGTATAATTTATCCTGATGTTTCTCATTCATCAAAGCCTCGTGTTTGTTTGTATTACCATGAGAAAAAATTTTAAAAATGTGGAAAAAAAAAAAGATCCCCCTCCTTTCATTACAGGCAAATTACGGCAGAGTTACAACCCTTGGGGCCCTTCAGGCAAAGGAACATCTTGCTTCAATTAGATATAAATAATGAACAATAATTAGAAAGATTTCTTCATCGAATTTGTTATTTTATGTTTCCTTTCATCTGTAATGTATTGAAACGAATACTGAGCTCTGTTTCTGGGCCACATAGCAGGGACCTAAGGAGTGCTGTGGCATGTGTCTCCGAAGCAAGGGGAGGCATCCACAGCTGGGCCTTCTGTGTGCTGGCCGGGGAGGCTGCTGTCAGCGTTGGTCCAGGGCAGTGGATGCAAAAATGGGGCTCCTTCAGCTCCATTCCTCCAAATTCTTATAGTCTACTGGGGACCCAGAATAATCACTACTGGTTACCATCAGGAACTGCTCTGAGAGCTGAACACAAATCCCATTTAATCCTCATAGCAATCCTCTGCTACAGGCTCTGCTTCTATCTCCATTATTAAAATATTTGGAAACTGAGGCACGGATAAGTTAACTAACTTTTCTGGACCACAGTGTTGGTTGTGGGGGACAGACAGGCAAGGTAGGCAATTGGACTCCAGAGCCCTTGCTTGTCTCTGCTCTGGCACATGGCCCTCTGAAGTCCCGGTGAGCTCATGCTGCCATAGAAGCCCACAAGGTGTGGAGAGGGCACAGGGAGGCTGGGGTGCGGATGGCTCCCCAAGGAAAGAGGCAGCTGTTGGCTGTTGGATTTTCAACGGGCTTGTAGAGGTGTTGTTAGAGGAGGGAGATAAAGGGATTCCAGGCAGAGGGAGCACTGTGGCCTGGTGCCATGGATGGGGAGTGTGTGGGATTTCTCATTTCAAGGTTGGCTATGGTTCTGTGTGCAGGTGGGGAGAACAGCCAGAGATGAGACCGGAAGATGGAGGGTTGTGTAGATCCAGTTGAGAAGACTGGCTCTTCCTGTGGAAATGGTGACTCAGAGAGAGGGAGGGATGATGATGTGGGTTGTTAAAGAGGAGAGACTGAGATTTCTAGAAGAGAAATAAGTAAAGAGTGATCAAGTTGGAACCTGGAGAGAGAGGCTGGCTCCCCACTGGGCTTTTTTTATTTTGCAATTCTGTTTGGTACATGACGTTCTGTCAACACGCTGAGCCAAGTACGCTCTTCTGAGGCAAGTAAAATCTTCATAGCGACTGGTCCTTCCTGCTGTGACTATTTGTCCTTCCCCAGAGGAGTCTCCTCCTCTGCCCCTAGCTCAGAAGTCTGCTCTTGGGCTGCTGATGGCCGTTCCTTGTGAAATCCCCCCTCAAATGTGCACCTGGCTGGAGCCACCTGCCACTCCTCTAAGGAGAGCAAACCCAAGGCCCTCAGAAGTGCTTTGTTTTTTTCATCATCTTTTAAATAATTATCAACATTTTAAAATCAGGAGAGATATAAAAATCCAATTTTTTTATTTTTTCAAAGACCAAATTGGTTGAGGAGGTCATGGGGAGGGGAGCATTCGAAGTCAATACTTGGCTAGACCCCAGCACAGCTGCAAGCTTTGGAGGGGATGCCTCTTAATTTACCCTGAGTCAGTTGGTCTCTGAGTGCGTTTCTTCCTCATGCTGTCTCTGAGTGTCACAGGCCAGCCATCATTATCGTTCATCTTGCCAACATAGGCCTCTTTCCTGCCCAGCCTCTGCAGGCGTCTGAGTTGGAGATCCGCAGCATACAGCCTCCCATGTTGCCCTGACTCTTTGATACTATGATTCTCTGTCTATATGTTTGCTTCTATAGCTGGACTATAAACTCCTTGAAGGCAGGAATCATGTCTTACTCATCCTTTTATCCCTCCAGTTCAGTAAAGAACCTGGTTTTAGGTGCCCAGTCATCTTATTGAATTAATCTGCACTGAGAAAACACACCTGTAATTGAATGAGGCGCTGCAAGTCCCACTCTGGGCTGAAGGACTTGAACTTTGGGGGATGGGGAATGAAGAATGTGGATAGTGGGCCATGCCGGGCTTGGAGTTCAGAAGGGCCTTGCAGCCCATTTGTATCCTTGCAGTGTGCAATGCACAGCATGTACTCATGCCTCGCTGCCTTTCTGCATTTCAGGACTTTCCAGGACCTGTCCAAACAAGTGGAAATGTCTTATGGCACTGTCCGGGATTCTGCTGTATATGAGTACTTCCGAGCCAAGGGCACCAACCCCCTGGAGCAGGACAGCACGTTTGCTGAACTCTGGCGGACCATCAGCAAGAACGGAGGGGCTGACAACTGCGTGTCCAGTCCTTCAGAAGGCATCAGGAAGGTAGGCAGGAGCTGGCGCTTGGGCACGTGCACTGTAACAGGGCCACGGGGTGGTCAGCCCCCAGGTGGGAGACACCTCCAGGGGCATCTGCCTCTGAGCAGCCCTGTTACCTGCAAGGCGATCCATCGCACACGTTCTTTAGGTGGATGCCCTTTCAGAAGCAGCTGCTCTGCTTCTTATGGACCTTCCAACTTTGTAGAGTGGTGCTGGCTGGGGAGGAGCAGGCAGATTAAGCCTGACTTTTGGCCCACCCTCCTCATGGGCTCATAGGAGGGTGACACAGAGAGGCCTGTCCACCCGAGGTGAGAACAATTGGCAAAAGCAGTAGCAGAGTGCCAAGCGAGAGTTGCAGGAGTGAAGGGAGGGTGTTGGGGAGAGGGTGGGCCCACTGTGGTTAGCTTGGGGGTCTGGTTGAGGAAGTCTGCATACGGGGAAAGGGGGTAAGGGTCAGCCAGGTGGCCTGGACTCATCTCTGGGGCCGTACTGTGAGAAGAGTTGTACCTCAGAGATGGGGATAAGGGCAGAGAGCCTTACCGGGCAAAGCCTTAGGAGGCCAGATGGGAAGATACCAGTGCCAGAGGGAGGAAGGGAGGAGAAAGGCCATGATGCTCTTCAGCACTGTTAGATGTTGCTCATTTGTTTCAGTCAATTTCCCACAATGACTCGAATTCAGCATTATCCTCTTATACAGCTGAGGATCGGGTGGCTCTGACTCATGACTCCTTGGGTTACAAGCTGGGGAACTGGCATTTATCCAACACGTGCAGCTGTAGAGCCCTTGGAGGTCAATGAAGAAGAATGTGGTGGGATGAAGGCAGGTGTTATGATTTTGCTGCTGGTGGTGGGGTCCTCCTGTCCAGTGAACCCCACATGCAATGGCTACTGTCCTGAGGTCATTAGAGAATGGGGCGAGAGACATGTACAGCCCCCTGGCCAGGACCGCTGCCTCTCTGAGCAGACTGGCTGCCTCAGTGTCTCCTCCCATCCTTTCCCTCCCAGACCCATCCTGCCACCTCTGTGGAGTCTCCTCATGCATACCCTCACAGGCACACTAACACCTTGCCACACACACACACACACACACACACACTCATCCCTGTGCTGCCCCCCCAGCCACTCCAGTGACTTCTTGGCCTTCCTGCAGAGAGCAGTGGATGTCAGGACAGCCTGGGGCAAGCTCTGGGGCCAGTAAAGCCCACCGCCCTGCCCTTCATGGTCCTCAGCAATCTGCCAGCCCCTCCCTGATGTGCCCCAGAGGGGTCAAGGGAGAGAGGCCTGAGTCCCCCTTTGCTTTGGAAACACATGGGCATCAGGCAGAGTGCAGCCTCTATCCCATGACAGGCTGGGGCACCTAGCTGTGGTGCCATGTAGAGTGAGGCCCACTGGGAAGATGGTCGTGCACAGGATGACTTGTACAGGATCCCATGCTCAGGATGATTTTTCATTGCCATTTAGCCACATTGAACAGCAGAAGATGTCTAGGCTCTGGAGCTTGACATATTTAGGTGTGAATTCCAGTTTCGTAAGTTACCAACATTGTGAAATGGAGCACACCATTCTCCTTGTTTGGGAACTCTTGGATTTGAGAAAGACCTGGGCAACTTTCCATTTGGTGGTCTCCTTAGAGACTTAAATGATCTGAAAATACATATCATGATAAATTTTGAATGTTTAGATTTAACAAAGTGATACTTTGACAATAACAATAGAATGCAGTGTAACTGTGCTATTCTCATGCTTACAAGATTTATTAAAACCTCGTAGTTCTCACTGCACTGCAAAGGATGATGCTCTAGCCTTAAGCTGCAGGATCTTCTTTCACCCCTGACAGTGAATCTTTGTGGCTGTAGGTGACCTCATTTGAAGATAATGAACACAATGTTGATTTAAGGCCTTTTGTGCATGTGAGGCCTGGGCCAAATGGCCTTCGCGTTCCCTTTCCTGGCTTTCTTTGACTCTCAGAGAGAGCCAATACTGTCATCCACACAGGGTCTTAAGAAGATTCATTGCATAATGCTAAAAAAAAAAGCACTGCTTAGAAAAAAAAAAGATAGCTACTTTTGACTTTGTTAAAGTTCTATTCATTACAAGCCACTTTAAATAAAATAGAAAGGTAGGTCACACACTGGGAGGGGATGTTTACAATACATATAACCAATGCAAGATTACTGTCAAGAATATATTAATAAGAAAAGCTCAAACAACTTAATAGAAAACTGGCAAGAGGCTTGCACAGGCCTTCCACAGAAGAGGCAACACAAATGGCCAGTAATCAAATGAAGAGATGTTCAAAATTATTAGTGATCTGTGAAATACAAATCAGGACCATAAAGATTATATCATTTTACACCAATTAGTTTGGCACAAAATGAGAGGCGGTGAAGAAGACGTGGAGTAACAGTTGGTTAATTGCTGATGGGGGTGTGCTCAGTACAATCACTTTGGAGAAGAGCTTAGCATTCTCTTATAAAATGGGACACTTACATACTGTATGGCCCAGCAATTACACTCCAATGTATCCACCCAAAATAAATGTCCACATGCACTTTTGGAGACAAGAAAGGCCATAGTAGCACTTCCTGTAGAACCAAAACCCTGGAAACCATCCAAATGACCATTAACAATATAAAGAAAGATGTTGTCTACAATGAAATGGATGAATCTTAGCAGAATAATATTGAGTAAAATAAAACATTAAGGCAATTTCATACGGGTCAACTAATAGAAGGTAACACAGAATATTATACCCTCTTAAAAATGTATAAAATATACACATACACATCCAAAGCAATGATAAAATACAAGATTCACCACAGTGGTTGCTACAGGTGGGAGAGCCAGAGCAGCAGAGAAGAGAGAAGGACATTGTTGGTAAGTCAGAGTTGGTGTTAGGTTTAGATTAGCAGGAGATTTTAGAAAATTAGTTAATGAGTTAATTCAAAAAGTGAGCCATTCCTGGAGAAATGTATGGGTATCCTGAAGCAAAGGTTGTCATTAATCTCATTCTGCTCACCTCCCTACTCTTCCAAATGCGTAAGTCCAGACCAAGCAAGGCAGTGCTGGGCTCCTCACAAGTACCCACCCCTTCCCTCTTTGCAGGCGACATGTGCCTGCTTATGCCTCAGAAAGGCCAACACACACCACTGAGCCCTCTGGTTGGTGATAAACCTGGAGATGAGTCATTAGAGAAACACCTCATCATTGTTCTAGCTACCCCTTGTCCATTGGCGGCACTTAGGAAACCACTCACCGTCTGGTGATATTTAGTCTTACTCATGAATACAACAATGTTAAAAAATCAGTAGCAAACGATGCAAACAAAGGATTTCTTATCAATGCCTATCACTTCATGGTATAGAATTTAATCTTTGTTAGTACATAAGATGGATTAGTTTTATGGTACCTTCATTTTATGAACCCCAAGCTGGCTTTGGGATCACAAATCTCTCTCTTGCATTTGGATCTCTAAGAAAAAAAAAACTGACTGCCAGCACTAGACAAATGTTAAGGGTTTTATAACTAGTGTCATAAAAGTGAGTTTATAGTATTGTCAGACAATGAAGTGTGCTGCATTTTTTTTAGTGGAAGAAAAGCTCAGATTTACTCTCAAATCCTCCTTCTTCGTGTGCCTGTTTGGATGACTACTGGACTTAAATGCTTGTCTGAAATCTGTCTTCTTCCCTACTCCTATGGAGCGGCCCCTCTGCTCCCTGCCCCCAGACTATGGCTTCAGTAACCTTGTGAATCCCTGAGCCCAGAGAGCAGACCAGTCTGGAGATGGCTGTGCCCTAAGTGAGGATGACGACTTGAATCCAGAAACTACAGAACAAATCCAGCAAGTAGGGTATTATGGGCCTAGTATTCAGGGAGGAACAGCCTCTCCAAATCCCAAACAGAGTCTGCTGCCATGCAGTGTAGGCAGCCTGGCAAAGGTGAGGAGAAGCCCACCGAGGGGCTTCTCCTGGAAACTTCTTTAGCAATTGACAGATAATCACACTTCTGATTTTCAGTTGCTCCTTGATGACTCAGCTCCATTTTCAGGGAGTGTTTGGTAGTGGAGCAATGTCTAATTGCTGCAAAAGTCAAGGAGGTTGGTATGGATGGTATGCTGTTATTTTCTCCTTGGGAGTCCTAAGGCTTTTAATGACATGAAACCAATTTAGGTGGGGAATTGTTTAGAGTGATCACTTGTCCACGGTATCAGAACTGGAGAAGGGTTATGTCATGGTTGGCTCGCCTCTGAGATCCACTCCTTCATGCCAATACACATCATTGAGCCTCTGGAGGGTAATAAACCTGGAGATGAGTCATTAGAGAAACACTTCCTTATTTTTCTAGCTACTCCTTGTCCATTGGTGGCACTTAGGAAATCACTAACCCTCTGGAAATAGAGTCTTACTCATGAATACAATAATGTTAAAAAATCAGTAGCAAAAGATGCAAATAAAGGATTTACCATGCCAGTGGCCACTAAGATAAGGACAAGTGAGACCTTGTCAGGCTTTGATGAGGCAAAGATGAAAGAATTTGGAACAGGAGGGAATTTTTATTTATTAAGAGACGACAACACACCATTTTCACAACAAACCTGCCTGGCACCCAGTAAGTCTCAATAAATACAGGATTGTTCCTGAATGAGTCATCTGTTTGCTGTCTGACTGAGCAGAGGCAGATAAATCGGAGACAAGATTCCTGTCATCAGTTAGCAGGTTACCCCCTTTAGATTTCATGGTGGAAGGGACAAGAGAAATAGCTCCAGGGTTCCTGTCAGGCTTGTCTCTTGATAACCTTCTGTAAGGGAGAAGATTTTCCTGGTCCTGAAAGATGTGTCACAAAGAGAGAGGAGAGAGGCTGCTTCCGTTTCTCTCAGCCACATGCACTTATCAGGCCTAAGGAAAGACTAGACCAAGGATTGGCAAACTCTGACTCCTGGTCAAATCTGACCTACAGCTTGTTTTTATAAAGGTTTATTGGACAACAGCCCAACTCATTTATTTACATGCTGTTTATGGCTGCTTTCCTGCTATTTCAGCAGAGTTGAGTAGTTGTGATAAAGATATGTGGCCCACAAAGCCTAAAATATCTATTATCTGGCCCTTTATAGAAAAAGTTTGAGGACTCCTGGTCTGGACAGGGGCAACCCAGGGACATTGCCTGTAGCTGTGCATCATCTCATAGCACACAGGCACCATTAGTAGGGAGCATATCCTCTAACTCTATATAATCAAATAGTGCACAGGCATCTCTGCTAAGAAGCTCCTGCTGCAGCTCTGCACCATTTAACAGCTCATAGGTGCCTCTAGTAGTGCATCATCCAGCTCTGCACCGTTGAATAGCATCCGGGCTCTGCCCCTTTTTGTCCTCTAGGTCTGTCTCTGGTGGCCTGGAAACTTCTCCCTCACTGCGCTGAGACCCAGCTTTACTGCTGGTCTGGCCTGGCCTCCCTCTGAAATCTATTGAGCAATCTCTACATCCCAGGCACTGGGCCAGATCATTTACATGCATTCATACTTTCATCTGAAACCGACTACTTGATTATTATCTCCAAGATGTAGAAACTGGACCTGAGCCTCAGAGAAACTAAGTGACTTGGCTAAGGTTCACACAGATGTGAGTAATTAGTGGCATGGTCACCAAAACCTCATTCCACTCGTGCCTCTTCCCATGGGGTGGTAATCTCGTCTTTTCTACACCTCAATGTGTTTCCACCCCCTTGTGTACATTTTGCTTGTGCCTCTATTTCCTTCCCTCTCTGACACCAAAGTGGCAAGATATATGCCTGACTTCCATGTTTAGCAGCCATACTGCTCCTTCCATGTGTCATAGCAAAGGTTATTGAAGTCTGTGACTTTATCTTTTGATTTTCAAACTATTAAAATATCCATTACAGAAACTTGGAGATGCAGAATTGGCCTGGCAAATGGTTCAAATTTATATGATAATAACTTCATCACATGAAGTCAGACTTTAATATTGCTGATGGGATTTTTTTTCTTTAGCTTGATCAACTTCATCAAGCAACATCCAGCATAACCCAATTTCTGCCCAGTGCCAGGGCTGACCTGGATCACCAGTTGATTAAGCCTTTCCATAAATCAGACCTAATATTTAATAACACTGTCAAGTAGAATATAGCGTTAATAGTTTAAATGTCAATCTTCACAGCTTATTCAGTCCTTTGAATAAATAGATGAGTAGCTTGTTTCAGACCCTGTGGCTGGAGATAGTATTTTTCAGAGGGAAGTATCTTTTTAGGCCAGCATTTGGTGGTAACAAAAGGTGGTGTTTTTCTGTCAGTAAATATAGCTGAAGTCATAAAGTGTGAATGCAAATGCAGGAAGAAAATGGGCCCGCAAATCTTATTTCCACTCCTGGTCTAATGCTTGCTCTTGCACTAGATTGCATGTGGGCATCACCTCTTAGCACCAACATTTATTCGCTTTCTCTTCCTTTCTGCTCTGTAACAGGGTTGCTCTCATTGCACACAATCTCTGCTTAGTGTCAGGGACTACACCTGTGGCAGAGAAGCTGATCCCTAGAAGGATGGCAGTCTTCCACAGTAGGATCAGGAACTTTGGCACCCAGATAACCCTTCATTTGGAAAGGGCAAGGTGAGGAAGTTGGCCTCATATGTGGCAGCTCCTGGTTCCATGGCATGCTGGAAATTCCTACTGAGAAGTAGGGCGAGGCTTATATGGGTGGGCACTTCTGTGCACTTTTGGGATGCTAGATTCAAAGATCAAGAGAGTTTGACCAAGATATGGAAGGGGATGTAGACTAGATAGCCCTGTGTAGTGCAAAGCAAAAATACTGCTCTCTATAACAGCAAGAGCCCTTGTAGCCATGATCCAAGAAATTCTGTTCTTTCTCTGCTTCCACGTGAGTATGGATTGGGGATTTTGTAAGCCTCCTTCCCTCTCAGCCACTCACATTGGATAATCATTCATCTCTATATCTTTTGTACCTGCTCAAAAGACCCTATATCTATTTTGCAACTTGGATGCTATCTTCTCTTTATTCATTCATTTATGAACTTACTCATCCATTCAAGAAATGTAGTTTGAGTAGCATCTTCCTTTTAGGAGTTAGAAAATGTGTGTTTAAATGTTATGCTCCATCTAGTCTGTGGCTTTGAACAAGTGTTCACCTTTCTGTACCATCTGTGATACTTGCGGAAGGTCTGTCCAGATTAGTTGCAAGTATACCAATGTATAGGGTCTAAAGCATCCAGTGTCGATTGTAGCACAAGGTATATGTTCAGCAGGCATCAGCAAACTATCTTAGCATCTACTATATGTTAGAAAAAGATTTTATTTATTTATTTATTTCTGAAATGGAGTTTTGCTCTTGTTGCTCAGGCTGGAGTGCAATGGTGATCTCAGCTCACCGCAACCTCCGCCTCCCAGGTTCAAGCGATTCTCCTGCCTCAGCCTCCCAAGTAGCGGGGATTACAGGCATGTGCCACCATGCCCAGCTAATTTTGTATTTTTAGTAGAGATGGAGTTTCTCCATGTTGGCCAGGCTGGTCTCAAACTCCCGACCTCAGGTGATCTGCCTGCCTCGGCCTCCCAAAGTGCTGGGATTACAGGCGTGAGCCACCGTGAAAAAGATTTTTTAAAAAGGCAACAGCCTTTAGTCTTTTATGAAGTGTAATTGAAATACACATATAGTGTCTATTTCATGAGTTTAGACAATTTATGCAATTCTGTAATAATCACCCAAAACAAGATACCTATTTCCATTACCTGCAAAACTTTTCTTTTGTCACTTTTTACACTTCTCCTCATCTGCAGAGACAACCGCTTGCAGATTTCTAGCACCACACATTAAATTTACCTGCTCTTGTAGTTAATATAAATGGAATCATACAGAATATATGTATTTGTGTTTCATTCTTTCACCCAACAAAATGTATATGAGATTTACTCATGGAGTTGTGCATATCAGTACTTCTTTTTTTGTGTGTGTGGGAATGATATTCTATTGTATGAATAAACCTTGATTTGTTTATTTATTCTCCAATTAACATATATTGTAGTTGTTGCCAATTCAGGGCTACCATAAATATGACAATATGAACAATATTATACAAGTACTTTGTTGAAATATGTCTCCATTTTTCTTTGCTAAATTTGAAAGGGTGAAATTCCTGGGTCATTATGAAACTGTCTAACTACCTCCTATGTGGTTATGCTACTTTGCATCACCTCTGGTAATATACTCCTTATATACTTGTAAGTCTCAGTTGCTGAATGTCCTATCCTGCATTAGTGTTGCCAGTATTTTTGGTTGCAGCCAATTTAGTGGGTATGAACAGAAATCTGATTATTATTTTAATTTGCTTCTCTTTGGGGACTAGTGATGCTGAGCATTTTTTCATGTGCTTATTGGCCATCCATGTATCTTCTTTCATAAAATGTGTGCTTAAGTCTTTTGTTAATATTTATTGAGTTTTCCATCTTCTCATTGCTGATTTATATTCATTAATTTATGTATTCTGGATAGAAGTCCTTGATCAAATATAAGTACTATAAATATAATTCTTAGTCTGTAACTTGCCTATTCATTTTATTCTATTGACCTATCACCATTATTAAAATAATTTGTATTTAATCAATTGACTACATGCCTTGATTGACAGTCAACTGGCCATGTATGTGTTGGTCTATTTCTGGACTCTCTATTCTGTTCCATTGATCCATATAACTATTCTTATGCCAATAAAAAAATCTTGATTATTGAAGTTTTAAAATAATTCCTTAAGTCAGGTATTGTAAGTCCTTCAACTTCGTTCTTCTTTTACAAGATTGGGCAATTTCAGATTCTTTACATTTCCACTTGAATTTTAGAATCATTTTGTCAATTTCTTCAAAAATGCCTGTTGAGATTTTGATCGTTATTACATTTAATATAAGGATCATTTCAGGGAAAACTTATATTTTTATAATACTGAATCTTCCAATCTATGAGCATGGTTTTTCTGTTCAAAAATACCAACTTTTGTCTTCACTGATTTTCACTGTTGTTTTTATATTTTATTGATTTCAACTTTTTTGTGCATAAAATATTTTCTTCTTATTTTACTTTGGTTATAATTTTATCTTACCTCTTCTAGCTTCTTAATGTTAAAACTTATATCATTAATTTTACACTTGTTTTCTTTCCTAATATAAGTATTAGAGCTATAAACTTCCCTCTAAACACTGTTTTAACCCCACCCTGTGAATTTTTATATGTTGTGTATTCATTATCACCTAGTTCAAAATATGAAGTCCCAGACTTAATCTTTTTGTCAAGGAATTAAGTTCTAGAGGACAGCAAATGGCTGCAATTGATTTAATGTGGGAAAGAATATGGATGCCCAGAGCGGGGATACATTCTGCTTAGTGAAGTTAGAAGAAGCTATCCAAGATAGTCATGTTAGGAACACATATTTTATAATCTATAAGCCTCAACTCCTTTTCTGATTTGAAGATAAAAGTGTGAGAATGTGAGAGCAAAATGGCAAGCAAGAAATAAAAGGTACAGGAAGATAAAGGAAATTAGAGAGGCAGGAAAAAGCAGTTGAACTCCATGTGAACAAAACCCACATTTATTTCTACTAAATGTGTAGCTTTAGCAGTAGTTTATTTCTACTAAATGTGTAGCTTCCTTGTAGGAGAATGAGGGCAGTGGTCTTTTCACTGCTTCACAGTTGCTGTCTTCAATATGCCTCCCATGGTCTTGGGCTTCAGCCTCCTGAGTTCTATAGGCCTTGACCAATTAAAATGTGCCTAAACCTTTTTCACATGCTTTGACTCTGCAGTCCACCCAACGGCAGATCCACTCAAATCTCCCCCAGTCCATATCAACTTTTAAAATAATAAGCAGTTTTGAGAGGAAATCTTTAGGTTATACATTTATGATTTACATGCAATAAGTTCCCATTAAGAAAAGTTTAAAATATTTCTTTTTTCACCACCTAAATGCAGTTCCAAGAATCCTCTTGTATATTTCTGTCTAGTCTTTTTAGAATTTCTACAAACGTTTTATATAATTATAATGCTATAAAAATATTTCATCCTGCATTTTTCTGACAATGTGGTAAAACTTTATAAAAAAGATTTTTCTGACAATGTGGTAAAACTTTATAAAAATTAGTGACTAGTATTTTATCAAATAGATGTAAATTGATGTAAAAATTTTATTTAAACATTCCCTTCTTGATTGCCATTTGGGTCATTTCCAGTTATTTACAGTTATAAATAACATTGTAATGAACATCTTTATGCCTAATGTTTTTCAGTTACTACATTTATTTCTGTAGGTCTAATTCTCAAAAGTAGAATTATGGTGCCAAAAAGGATATAAACATTTAAAGCCCTTGATGAAGTATTACTGAATATCACCAAAAGCAGGGCTTTGAATGAATTACATTATTAGTTTTGGGATCAAAAGAATATTTATTTGTCAGTGGATTTTTTTTCATCAACTCCTTGTGATTTATCTTAAGATTTAAAAAATAAATTAGTATTTTTCTACTTTCTCATATCTTTCATTGTGATTTTTTGTTCCTTTTTCTGTTTATATTTGTACATAGGTATTTGTGTATGCATGTATTTTTGCTTTATTTTGCTTTATAATTCTGGGGACTACAGTGGAACAGCAATCATTTTCTTTTCAATCTTTTTTTCCTGAGCGTTGCCATTATAAACTGTGGCTAATTGGGGAAATTGAATAAGATCATGAATGTTTAGCGGTCTGTGGTTGTTCAATAATCAGAAGTGATGGACATGTAAATTTCTTCCTTAAATATAGATTTCTGCAGTGATTTACTCTGTGAAGTATTTTGTCTTTTATCCATTTATTCATTCATTTATTCATCAACTCATTTACTAGTGCTGAACTCAGTTAATATGTAAAAGTGGACATGACACTTTTCCTCCTAAAACTGAGTTAGAAGAGAAGACAAAAACCGACTTGGGACAGTATATTATTTCAAAAGTAAAAGATTTTTGTATCCTTTCTTATTTTACCCGGGGTCTTCCTTTCCTCCACTGGGGCCTTATGTCAATGTTTGGACAATCAGGAGATTAATTTAATCACAACAGCTACCATGAGAGAAACCTGGCATGGATCAGGTGTGAGGTTAAGTTTCTCCTATGCATCAAGTCTATTGTGCTTCAGCACAACCAGTTCATTAATGAGGAAACTGAAGTTCCAAGAGGGCAAGGGACTTGCTGACAATCAAGCTTGAGTCAGTATTGAACTCTTCTCACTCCAGCGCCCTTGTCGTTACCCCGTGACAGTCTGCAGAAATGGAAGGAACTCGTGATCAGAATGAAACTTCAGCTCCCCCACACTGCTTGGAGCACCAGTCTCTTTCTCTGCCTGCCAGGCTGGTTCCTGGTTATCCCTCAGGCCATAACAGAAGCATTAACGTCTCCTGAGCCTTCCCTGGGCTTTCCCTTTCCCCTTACCACACAGTGCATCCCAGAGTGCAGCCTCACCAGATGCCATCCAACCCTCAGTGCCCTGCTCTGTCACAGCCCTGCTAGACTTGGGGCTTCTCTAGAGTGAGGCCTGCCTTTTATTTATTTGTCCTCAGGGCTGGCTGAGGGCAGAGGTAGGCATGGATAAAGCACTTACTCAATGTCTCTTAACCTTTCAAAAATCAAAGTAAATGTTCAATGAGTAAGAAATGAGAGTGGATAGAAATAGCATTCATATGCATCTTTCTTAAACATGAGTGAGCAGCAAAATTGCTGGGGTCCACTTGCAGTAAGGGCAAGGAGGGGGCAGGGGAGGGCAGGGGGTCCTCTGCCCTGGGCCTGGGTGGCAGAGTCAGTCTTACTAGAGCCAGTTGCCATACAATTGACTGAGTTGGCCCCTTTATAACTCCTTGCTGTTTAATTCTGTTTGGTGATGATTGGTTTGGGATAATACAGTCCAAATGTCAAGGAAAGCCCCCACTGTGCCTCCCTTATTAAATTATTCTGCTTTGGGTTTTGAGCATTGCCAAGCAAATCTCATTATGAATTCTTCAATTACTTTCTTTTACGATTTTTATAATTTGATAGAGTAAGCTCTGGAATCAAACCAATATCCATGCCACCATGCTAACCTTGATTATTTTCAAACTTCTTATTAGAGGAAGTGGGAGGATGTTGACTTCTCTTAAATCTGATTTTTTTTTTTTTTTTTTTTTTTTTTTTTTTTTTTTTCAGATTTCCTCTGCCCTGTAATTTGCTTTGTACCCAGGTCTGATACGCTTCACCTTAGTGCTGGCTGTAAATGTGGGCTGATTCCATTCTGTTTGTTCCATTGAATATTATTGCTTTGGGTTTTATGACTTAAGTTTTTACATTTTGAACTGAATTGTTTTGTTATTTGATTACATTAAAATCAAGAAGAAATTTCTGATGAAAATAATTTTGATTTATCATGTCAGCCAGATTGTTGGCAATTTTTGTTTAGCTTATTTTTATTTCCACTTTATTGGCATAATGTTTATTCAGGAGCAAGAGGGAAGAGAAAATGAAGAAAATAACATTCACAAAGAAATTAATATGTGTGGCATTGTGCTTATGCACTTTATCTTCACCATTGAGGACCTTTTGTGGCGTGTTTCCATTTTGCAAATAAGGAATGCAAAACTCAAAAAACTAAATTATTTTCCTGAAAATTAGCTGTCTCTTTCTACCATTTTTGTGTCTTTTTGTTATTACTACTGTTATTATCATTGTCATCATTATCTTGTCATCATCAATAAGATAAAACATATTTGAGTAGAAGTAGTGGTTTCCACCGGGATGGGGTGTTCCAATAAACAGCTGATAGGTCTCCTCACTCTACAACATGAGGATATTAAGATTTGCTCTGGGTCCTATATTTTGAAATTGTAGTCTGTGTGTGTGTGTGTGTGTGTGTGAGAGAGAGAGAGAGAGAGAGAGAGAGAGAGAGAGAGAGAGAGGTGCCCCATCAGGGCTGTGCAGGAATTCCCCCACTACCCCTATAAAGCCCCTCTACTGGTAAACTTTTTTTTTTTTTTTCAGATGGAGTTTCGCTCTTGTTGCCCAGGCTACCATGCAATGTGCAATCTTGGCTCACCGCCACCTCCGCCTCCTGGGTTCAAGCAATTCTCCTGCCTCAGCCTCCCAAGTAGCTGGGATTATAGGCATGCACCACCACGCCTGGCTAATTTTGTGTTTTTAGTAGAGACAGGGTTTCTCCATGTTAGTCAGGCTGATCTTGAACTCCTGACCTCAGGTGATCCGCCCACCTCAGCCTCCCAAAGTGCTGGGATTACAGATGTGAGCCACCTCGCCCAGCCCTCTACCAGTAAACTTTTATGGTTCTTTTGACTTTACAAAGCTGTAAATTCCAACAGGTAGAGCCCACAGCTTGTTCAGCTGTGAGGAGTGAGAGTCTATTTGTATCTTTTTGGTCAGAATGTGACCTCTTTTGTAGCTCCTCAAAGTGCTCCAAGGCTGTTGTGTGAGCTCTGACATTTTAGCAAAGGCTATAAAGGAATACTTAGCCACAAATGGAGTTAGAGGATGAGGCTCTTCCACATAAGCCCCTGGAGACAGTCTCCCAGCACATGAAGGGATGTTCGTTAATATTAATTGGGATAGCATGCAATTTTGCTTCTCTATCCTCACAGCACAGTTCGTGTTGCCAGTTCCCAGCAACCCTTTATGGCTAAAGAGACTTTAAGAGGAAGCTGCTTCAGACAGCAAAGCCACCTTGGCCTCAGGGTACAGTTTCATGGGTCTCAAACTTTGTTTCAGTAAAGTCAAACGCTCCGTTAAAGGCAACATAGCATAGTGAATGGAGAATGTGATTTGGGTCTGAAAGAACTGGATTTGGCTCTCGTATCCATCTTTTACCAGCTGTGAGATCTTGGGAAAATTAATGGGCTCCTGAATAATAAGAATAATAATACCAAGTCTTATCAGAGTTATTGTAAAGATTAGAAGTGATGTGAAAGAGCCAGCCATGGTGGCTCACACCTGTAATCTCAGCACTTTGGGAGGCTGAGGCGGGAGGATCACTTGAGGTCAGGAGTTCAAGACCAGCCTGGACAACATGGTGAAACCTCATCTCTACTAAAAATGCAAAAATTAATACACCATGGAATACTCTACAGCCATAAAAAGGAACAAGATTATGTCCTTTTCAGGGACACGGAGGAAGCTGGAAGCCATTATCTTCAGCAAACTAACACAGGAACAGAAAACCAAACACTGCATGTTCTCACTCATAAGTGGGAGCTGAACAATGAGAACACATGGACACAGGGAAGGGAACAACACACACTGGGGCCTATTGGGGGATGGAGGGATGGCATCAGAATAAATAGTTAATGCATGTGAGGCTTAATACCTAGGTAATGGGTTGATAGGTGTGGCAAACCACCATGGCACACGTTTACCTATGTAACAAACCTGCACATCTTGCACATGTATCCCACACCTTCAAATAAAATAATTTTTAAAAAATACCAAAATTAGCCCGGTGTGGTGGCACATGTCTGTAGTCCCAGCTACTCGGGAGGCTGAGGCACGAGAACCACTTGTTCCTGGGAGGTGGAGGTTGCAGTGAGCCTGGGCAGCAGAGCAAGACTCCATCTCAAAACAACAAAAAAACCTTAAAAAGTATATGTTAACAGTGTAGTTCTCAAAGGGTGGGCCTTGTTCCAACACCGCCAGCATCATGTGGGAACTTGTTAGAAATGTACCTTCTTGGACTCTACTCCAGATCTAAGAATTAGAAGCTGGGCAACAGGGAGGTTAGCAGTCTGTGTTTTAAAATGCCCTCCAGGTGATCCTTATGGCTTCTGAATTTGAGAACATTTGCTTGAACAAATGGTGCTTATTGTCATGATTGTTGTTTTGTTAGTATTTTATTTATTCTTGAATTTTAGAAACTGAGGCCAAGGGTGCCCATTGATGCTGTCTGTGAAGCCTCTGGAAGAGACTTCAGGGTGGAAAAGGGTGGAGGGCAGACCTGGAGGGGCAAACAGGATGTGCCCCATTCAGCAGCTCAGTCAAGCCAAGACCAAGGTTCCTGGCTTCCCAGATTCTACTTGCCATCCTTTCATCTTTTATTCAATCACTTTACACATATTTACTTAGCACCAACTCTATGCCAGACATCATGCTAGGGGAGCAAACAGGACATGCATGGTCAAGCTTACATTCTTGTGTGTGTGTGTGTGTGTGTGTGTGTGTGCATATGTGTTTACATGGCACACAGGGAGTATCTGCACAGTCCTCTTCCTGTGCTTTATGGGCTATTTGACCACATGTATGCTTGTCATCTGTGTAACCTGAATTCATGTATTCTTAAGTTGTTTCAATTTCCTGGGATGGCATTCTTCATTCTGTATTCTTTTCCCTTTGTAATCTATTTTGTATCCAGGCACACCAATTTGCTCTTTCTTTTAGGTCATTCTTAATTTTTCCCATGGAATAACTCAGATTAGATTATTGTTTATCATGGTCTTTGGACAATTTAAAATTTTGACAAATCATTGAAAATCAATGTGTCCCTTTGCCCTACTGACAAGGTTGTTTATAGTCCCTAGTTTTGTTGATAGTGTACAATTGCAGATTTTGAGAAAAGAGGCATTGATTTTTCCAACTTAGGACTTTTCTTTTTCCTTTATACCAAACCAGCTTCTTTTTTTCTTGAAAATATAAGAAACCTTATTTTACTAGGACAATTTTTTGCTCAATAAACAAAACTATTCCTCCCCAAAGTGCTGGAGGCCCCAAAAGGGAATGCAGCCATAATGTCTCCACAGGGTCAGATGCTGGAGGCAGATGTCATTAACAAAAGCTTGACAAGAATCTGGCAGCAGAAGAGGGGAAAAAACCAGCATGAGGACAGGATGGTCAGGGGGCTCAATGTGGCTGTTTGGGGCTACTGATATTAAACTTTTGATGTGACAGAGAGGAAGGCAATTTGCAGTCAAGGAGATCTGAGGAGGAACTGAAGCTCTGCCAATAGCAAATTCTGTGGCCTTGGTTCTTTTTGAGCCTCAATTTCCCTGGGTGGAAAATGTACACAATTTGGACTATGGAAGTTTATCCTGAACTTTCTAAGAAATTCAGGGAACAGAATTGATGGTAAGGGAAGAGAATAGCTGGTAAAGCATAAAGTAGAGTTCTTTTCAGGAAGATATTCAGTGTGACTTTCCTTTAAAATTTGTTTTTAGTAGCCTTGGTCTCTCAACTCTATGGTTTCCCTTCTTCCATTCAGTACTCCAATTCAACACCCTAGAGCTTTAATACTATCTCCCTTTATAAACCTGTGTTCAAGAGAAGATCAGAAATTATTTGACCCAGAGGTCTAAGTCATTACATCTTGACTTTAGCATGCATCAGGATCACCTGTAAAGGTTATTAAAACATAGCATTTTGGACCTCGTTCCAAGAGTCTCTTATTTGGTGGGTCTTGGGATGGGACCTGATAATTTACATTTCTTATAAGTTCTTCAGTGAGCTGATGCTGCTTGGCCAGAAAACACACTTTGAGAATCACTAGTCTATAGCATAGACTTTGAGAATACCAGATCTGGAGAAGACTTGAAGGACCACCTGTGCCCCTCTTCCATTTTTATAAATTGATATGAAATGAATAATTGGGCCAAGACTGTGACCCAGCCTAGTCTAACAGTTTTTCTAATTTACTAGGCTGATGGTTGAGGACAATTTCACGTGCTATTTATTCCAAGGCACTCGCGTTGTTATCAGGATCCAAACTTTAAGCTGTAAGGTAATGCTGGTAATGATTGTCATGACCATGAGAATAACGTGTTGTTGTCTGCGTTTCTTCAATGCACCAGGCACTTTCCACACTGTCTTTTCCTGTGACAAGTGTGTGAGGTGGGCATGCTATTCCTGTCTTCTAGGTGAGGGCATTCAGCTCAGAGGGCTTAGATAGCTGGCCAAGGATGCTAAAGAAAGACTTGGTCCACCTGTCTCCAAACCCTTGTTCTTGCCAACATACCATGCCGTGCTGTCTGTGAAGTGGGATTGAAGACTCTATAAAGGAAGTTAAAAAATCAAAGGGCAGATAACATAAGAGAAAAGGCATTTCTGCTATTGTTGCTGTTGTTGAGTTGTTTGAGTGTCTTACAAATTCTGGCTATCTGTCCCTCCATTAAAAAGTGGGCAAAGGACATGAGTAGACATTTTTCAAACAAAGACATACAAATGGCCAACAAGCATATGAAAAAAATGCACAACATCACTAGTCATCAGAGAAATGCTAATTAGACCGACAGTGAGATATCACTTACACCAGTCAGAATGGCTATTATTAAAATGACAAAAAATAACAGATGTTAGTGAGGATGCAGAGAAAAGGGAATGCTTCTACAATGCTGGTGGGAGTGTAAATTACTACAACTTCTATGGAAAACAGTATGTAGATTTCCCAAAAAACTAAACATAGAACTACCCAGCAATCTCACTACTGGGTATCTATTCAAAGAAAATTATATCAAAAAGATAACTGTAGTTATATGTTTATAGCAGCTCTATTCACAATAGCAAAGATATGAAATCAATCTGTTGATTGGATAAAGAAAATGTGATATATATGTATATTTATGCAAAGGAATATTATTCAGCCATTAACAAAAATAAAATAATGTCTTTTGCAGTATCGTGGATGGAACTGGAGGTCACTCTCTTAAGTGAAATAATTCAGAAACAGAAAATCAAATACCACATGTTCTCACTTTTAAGTGGGAGCTAAATAATGTGTACACCTGGACATCGAGTGTGGAATAATAGACATTAGAGACTTGGAAAGGTGGGAGGGTGGGATGGGGGTAAGGGATGAGAAATTACATGAAGGGTACAATATAGGCTGTTTGGGTGATGGTTACAATAAAATCCCAGACTTCACTACTATGCAATACATCCATGCAACAAAACTGCACTTGTACCCTTTAAATTCGTACAAATTTTCTAACAAAGAAAAGGAACTCATGGAAAAAAAGGGATTGGTGGCCTTTTTGAGATGCAAAATTACTCTCATTCTCTCTATCCACTGCTGTCCTCCTCACTATTGACTATGTTACTCTAGGACACAGGAATACCAGGATGAGACAGGCAATCATTTGCAGAAATCCTGGGGCCTGGCCATCAGGAGCCATGTCCTACTGTTGTAGCCTGGGAACACCTCCATCTTCTCGGTTGTCCTGCCCAGGTCATGGGCCGCCTCTCTGGGACTTTCATGACAAAGCTAAGGGCTGCCCTCATGTCTGTGCTCTGCATGCCACACAAGCCAGAGGCCTTCCCACTGCTAGATGGCCTTGCTCCCCTTTGGTTGTGTCAACTCATTGTCCACTCCCATTCTATTCACTCTGGGCTGCAGCCAGGAGCCAAATTAACTTTGCACCCTGTGGACCCTCAGGAAAGCAGCTTTTTCAGTATTTGTGGAGAGTTCAGCTGCAATCTCTTGTCCCCCGACTGAGCCTGTCCTGGTTTGCCTCCTTTTGCTGGTCCAGAGTCTGATCTGGATAAAAAGTCTTTACCTTTCATTCTTTGGGTAGCAGGTTTCCTGACAACCTCCTAGCTGGGCCCACCAATGGTCTGCCTCACAGCCTCACATCATTTTGATTCTGCATCACCTTTCTCCATTGTTCTCTCTTTAGAGATGGGCTCTTTATCTCCAGCTGAAGGTCCACTTTTTCTGAACCCTTCATGGTTCTCCAGCAGCTTGGTACCTGAGTCCTCTTCTCTGCTGCCTCCCTGGGGGCAATGGTGCTCACGATAATACACATACTCATACACTCACACATAAACACACTCATCAACCTACACACATTTATACAATTCTCACATACATATACACACACCTTCACACACACACATTCCCTCACACTTACACATGTACACACTCACATAATTCTCACATCCTCACATACATTCACACACATACACAGTCATACCTGCACATATATTATTCCAACATGCACACACTCACACACCCATACACACACACATTCCCATGCACACATACACATAAATACATACCTATAGACACTAACATGTATTATTGAATGCACACACACTCACCCACCCATACATTCTCACGTGCATCCACATGGACACATCTATACACACACATCTCCCTCACACTTACACATATGCACATACACAATTCTCATGCACACACACACACGCTCACACTCTTCTGCATGCACACACTCATGCACACACACTGCTTACTCACACAGAGTGTGTTGCTGACTTGGTGAAGGTGGGGGAGTGACTGGCAGGAGGGGAGTAGGTGGAGGAAAAATGCTTCAATCACAGCTGACAGATGGATCTCCTGACCATCTGGGAACTGAAGGAAGGAGCAGGAAACGGAACTCGCGTTGAGCCCTCATGCTGTACCAGGTACAGTGTTTTGCCTTCGGGAATTTCCCACTCCCAACCTTCCTTTTAGGAAACAATTCTTAGCCCCTGAGACAGTAGGGTCACTGGAGAGCTGGGCTGTGACAATGGGCACCCTGCTTTTTCTGCTGCACTGTGCAGAAGGAAGGAGGCCGAGCCTCGATATCCGTAATCACAAAAGGTGAGGCTTGCTGAGCTGCAGGAAACATAGGCAACACAGAGATGTTCAAAACCAACAAAAGCCACCCATGATGGCACCTCCCAAAGATGACCATGGCTTGTATTTGGCACTTATTTTTGATTCTTCACAAACATAAAGTTTTACATAATAATTTAAGAGGCGGTCACAATGTCAATACTCTAGTGTAACAGGTTCTTTTTCCACTAAACAATATAAGATAGATTATTATTTATTTAGCGTTTACCATATGTCAAGCAAGATCCTGAGCACATCACACATATTGAGGAATTTAATCCTCATCAGGACTCTGTGAAGTAGGGACCAGTTTATCCAGTGGAACTGAGACTCAGAGATGTTAAACAACTTGTCTGCACAGGCAGCAAGCGTGGAGCTAGCATTTAAACTCATACAGTTGGACTCAGTAACCCAGGCTGGTTCATAGCTCAGGGGTGCCTCTTTTTTTTCCCATGGAAATTTCCCTTAACAATCAATGCTCTTTTAAAGCACCATATTAATGGTAACATAATGTTCCACCATCTAATACTATCATTCACCTATCTGATTCCCAATTATTGAGCATTTAGGTTGCTTCCAACTTCTGACTAGTTTAAACAGTGTAGCCCTGAAAAAATCTCTATGCAAACATTTTTTGAAAATTGAATAATTCCTTAGGATAAATCCCACGGGTAGAATCGCTGCATGTACACATTTTAAAAACATTCAATTCTCCCCACCAAATTGCCATTCCAGAAATATCACGCCAGCCACACTCCCACCAGCCGATTGCAAAATTGTCTTTTTCTCTGCAGATGGTCTGGGTTTTTACTGTTGAATCTTACAATTTGGCATGGTACATACATAATACAGGTAACACTGTAGCCAGGGTTCAGGCTGCATGTGGTAATGTGTTGCCATTGAATGAACGTGACTATAGGAACTAAGACTTGGGATGCTTGAAAAGGCTGAACTCTGCTTCGTTAGGATAAATGGTGGCTGCAAGCAGAGGCAAAATGCACTCTGCATGGATGGTGAATGTACATGAGAATGTGTCAGGTTTCCAAAGAGTCCCTGATGTACAGAGAAGGGGCAGACCCCATGTCCTCCCTTCTTCCAGAGTTTCAGTGACTCCATGAAACACTTTTGTTTCTAAAGCTAGGGAAAGACAGGCATTGCCATTTGTGTGTGGTCTGTCACCAGCAATGTCCCCTAGGAAGTGGTCCAAGAGCAAAGACAGTAGGTGAATTTTCCCCAGTCCATACTTCATAAGTCTAACCAGGGCAGAGGAGACAGCACAGACTTCTTTGGAGCCAGATGTAACTCAGGTTGACATGGCTCCACTGTTCATAATTCAGGCTTGTTTGGGACACGTCATTTAATTTTTTGGAGCCTCAGTCTTTTTGTCTGTAAATGGGGTGGAATCTTCTGCCCTCGAGAAGTATTATATGGATAAAAAAGGGATCAGGTTTCTGAAGGCCTTGGTACCCAGTGGGTGCCCCACACCTACCCTGCACCTGGCACTACAGGCACCTGTCTTCCTTCTGTGCTTCCTTTCAGATAGCATTTCTGACTGATGTTTGCAGCACCAGCATTCTCATTTGGGGGGAGCAGTGTGGTTGCTTGTCCCTTTCCAAAGCAGTTAGGATGGAATGGAATAGCGTAATGAGGTTCTTGCCTTAAAGGCTGATGTCTCTGAAAGGTTGTGCTCCAAGTGAGTTCCAAAAGGGGTGGAATCAGTGGAGCAACAAAAGGCAATGCCATCTCATTTTACTGCCAGTGTGAAGTCATGGAACACAAGCAAGTCATCCAATCAGCTCACTTGTGGCTTCTTTTATAGAGCCCAACCTTCCTCCAGCAAATAGAGGCCAATCATATTCTGCTAAATGTTAGGGAGGATGCTGTAAGTGTTAGAGCCAGACTCCCTCACCATGTCAATTTTTTTCCTTTTGCAACAACCCAGGGAGCAGGTAGACTGAGAAGGGAATCTGCTTGCTAAGGTGTTTGCTGGGGGACAAGGCTGGGTGGTCTCTCTAGCTGCTGTTGTCCTGGCATCCCAGGGATGGATGCTCACATGCCTTTGACTTTTTCTCATGCCAAGATATTCTTCCTCCTTTCACTAAAGTTCCTGCATCTATTCTTTTTTTGTCTGGACCATGTTTGTTTGTTTACTTTTCTTTTAGGAAAAGCGGAGAATGAAATGAAGTAAAATGTTTAGAAGTAGGCCAAAAATGTCAAGGAGATTTTCCCAAGTGCTTGGGTATTATCAGGGAGCCAGTGTCCTGGAGAGGTCTGAGAGCTCTCCCAGGCCTTTGTGTCCTGTTGATGGGCCAGGGCACTGCTCCAGTGGAGCCAGGGGCACACAGGGTATGCAGATTGGATTAGTTGTCTGTGTCATGCATGATAGAACAAACTGTGAAACAAGGTTAAATAAACACAACACTTTCACCCACTTGTTTAGAAAATTATCACTTATCCCACTCTATTAGGTGATGATCAATCTTTTAGAATATTACATTTCACATGTACACACAACAGTAATAATACCGTATCTATCAATAATAATCTGTTCATCCTATTATTTCTGCCACTTTCCTTAAGTATTCATATATATGTCTATATATAAATATATAGTGTTTTTGTAAAGTCTTTATATTACTATCTGTTACATAAAATGCTATCACATTTATGAATCATAATTTATTGTTATTTCCCTAATAGTAAATATTTAAACCTTATGTTTACTTTAGAGTCAACTCTTAATTTAGAATATTTGTCATGCATTTTAGATATATTTAGGTTACTTTTTCGGTGAAATTCCCAACTTGCAAAGGTGAAAGACATGAGCAGCTTTAAACATTTGTGTTCTGTATTATTGTATTACTCTCCAAAGGATTGCATCATTTTGTGGTGCCGGTAGCCATGAAGGATTACGCACATTTTTTTCACAGTTTCTTTACCACTAGATATTATCAATTTTTTAAGAAACCGCTAGAAATGTAATTTGGCCACTTACACATATTAGTTTTCAGACCTCTACTTTCTTAGATGATCTGCAAATACGTTTCATAGCTCCTGGAAGAAACGTGGGGGCTGGAGTCCCAGGACTCCGTATCTAGTCCTGAAGGGCTCTGTGGGGTCAAAAGGGCCTGGAGTGTTGGGTGTCTATGCCCACCTAGGCTCTGCAGACAGCTCAAGGCTTGGAGTAAGCTTGGCTGTATCCACAGCCTTGTCTCCAGCCTAAGTTTCCACCAGCCTTATGCTAAGGCATTGATCCATGGTAAGTCAGCGATTGGAAATTCAGAATGCATTTCATATTATAAATGGACTAGCCAGGCCAGATAAAGGTAATTTAACCCATTGAAAGGTGAAATACAGTGTTTGTTTTTGTTTTATTTTAATAGCAGAACTCAAATCAGTGGCATCCCTTTTATCTTTTAGGCATTATGAGATAAATGCCAATAATCTATTTGCAAACAGCTCACCACCTATCATGCCTGTTCTCAGACATTATCCTCCTCAACTCCCCACAGCCACCTGTAAGTAGGGACAAGACAGTACTGGGAGATACAGGAAGAAGGAGTTGGTTTGAATAGGAAGTGGCAAAAAATAGCAGATCTAAATATCTGTTGTGACACTTGGTCAAGGGACTCTGGGACACCTGCAAGGAGATGGCTGGGTTCATCCTCCTCCCTCTACAAGCACCAGACCACAGCACAAGGTTGAAAGGAAGCTAGATTCCTGCTGATGCTCTGTCCTTTCCAGAGCCTGAAAAACATCCTCAACAGAAAAGAGTTAATATAAATAGGAAATGACAAATGCTTCCTAATGTGAAAGATCTCTGAAATGGAAATGAAGGGATGGAGCAAGGCAAGAAAGGGGTAGACATGCTTTCCTGATAGAACTAGAGGCTAGATAAGAGGTTGCACCCACAGAGGAGGGGTCTGAACCTAGGAGTGGGATTGGAGGAAATGCTGAGACTCAAGGAAGGAGGAGGGTGAACTTGCAACAGGAGGGGCAGGGAAGAGAGGAGTTGCTTGGCTGTCCTGGAGGCAGATGCTTGATATATTTGGTGTCCTCCCCCCAGCCCCCCGTAGTGGGGAAGCCAGACCTGTGGATAAGTAGCACAGAATAAGGGGGTGAATTCATCATTATTTGGGGCCACGTGGAAAACTGATTCTGACCCTACAAGGAGGAAGCAAAGCTTAGAGTTTTTGTGGGGCAGGATGGAGCTCATTCTGCAAGGAAACAAGAAGAGGGTCTGTATAAAGACAACAGGGCCATGATGGGTGGGATATTTTAACTTCTTAGAGCTGGTGTCTGCAATGTTCCTGACAGTATGGTCAGACCTAAGAAGCCTTATGTCTCAGACAGGCTCTGTGACACACTGGAAACTGGGGAGATGTCTGCAAGTCCAGAAAGTTCTGGAAATAAATGAATTTGGGGACCCAAAGAAAGCCTCAGCACTGCCTTTTACTCAGCATGGAGTTGAAAGAGAAAGGCTGAGGAAGCTCTAGGATGCCAAGGAAGTGAAGACGACATTTAGGAATGGAGGGTATTTCCTAAGGACAGAGCTAGAATCTGGCCTGTCCTGCCACTATTGGAGCTTCTGATTTGGCCCTGTCAGGGTCCTGTCCATAAAGTGTTCTTCCCCATGCACAGGGAGCTCTAGGCATGTACTTGTGCTGGATATTGTTACCAGTTCTTGGAGGCACTGAAGTCAAGGCCATTTCCTGTGTTCACCTTAAGCAGGGCTCAGTCAAGTTCTAAGTAGAAATATCAAATGGGTAAGATTTACCACAGTCCATCCTCCCCTCTTTCTCATCTCCACACTGTTATACTCCCCTACATTTCCATAGAATTGCAATCCCCTGGCATTAGATTTTCTGCCGTCTCCAAAGGTGAGCCCCTCGATCTGAGACATAAGCCCATGCCATGATGAGAAAGCTCATCCTAGAGCCTACCTCCAGCTCCCATCACAAAATGTGGGATAGCACCCTCTCCAGGTGCTCCTGCTTTGGCATTTTCAGACAGATTCAGGATCCAGCCACATGCTTCCTCAAGCAGACACAAGAAATATATTGGCAGCCTGGCATAGTGGCGTGAACCTGTAGTCCCAGCAACTCAAGATGCTGAAGAAGGACTATTGCTTGAGCCCAGGAGTTCAAGTTCAGCCTGGGCAACATAGCAAGACTGTCTATATTTTTTTTAAAAAAAAGAAAAAATAAATATAATGATGAACTTAGTCCCTGTTTACAAATAGGCAAATGGGGAGATGGAGTGTTCAGTAGGTCCAGAAGGCAGCTCCTACTGTCTCCTCCGGACTTCCTTCCTGGTTAGCAGGGATTTGAGGCTGAGCCATTGCCAGCATCCCTTCTGGATGTTCCCTCTTTCTCAGCTTAGGCCAGCAGGACTATAAATGTGGGTGCTTTCATGCAGCTGTGCTCACCTGTCCCTGAGCCCAAACTGAGTCACAAATGCCCAAATGGCTTGAAGGAAGCCAAGTGCCCCATTAGAGTGGCCACATCAGGCTTTCCTTGGAGTCCCTTTCCATTCTCTCTAAGCCAGCATATTTTGTTTTCATTCTTGGAGCATCACTTGAAATGTAGAAACAAACCTTTATCTTAATTTTTCCCTCAACGTGACATACCCTTTTGAAATCATAGAAATAACAATGTCTGATTGTCATGTTGAATTGCAAGCATGGATGTGAAATGCTCCAAAGTCTGACTAAAGCCAAATATTAGGTCATAAGTCAACATTTTGCTGAGAAACTTGGTTACTAAGAGGTTGAAAATGTCTATCTTTTTGTGAGAAAACTTGTTTGCCAGCAGGAAAAATTTATAGGATTGTTATCTTCCTACAAGGAAGGAGAGAGATGTGTGTAATTTTGCAACCTGGGTCAAAGTCCTTTAGGACTTCTGAAATTGGATTGGCTGAGGACTGAAGCCTTGGTGTAATATTTGGATTGCTCCTCGAGGTGAAAGTCAATGAGTGGCACAGGTGTGTGTCATTTCTTACAAGGTCGTTGGGCAAAATTGTCTGAATGTCTGGGAACAGGCTCTTCCCACTGCAGGAGGTCACACTCTGCCCACAAATCCTTCTAATGGAGAACTTCTGACAAGGAAATAAGCTGTCTTGGGCCATGAGCACTTGGGGTCTTGAAAGAAATAAAATCTTGACTAACTTCATCTAAGTAGCTACGACACTCTTTGGAAAGTCTCAGTGGACATGAAGACTCAACTGAACAAAGGCAGGAGCCAGGGACAATGTCCTCAACAATGCCAAGAAGCCTGTAGCTTGCTAGCATGACCTATTATTGTCTGTGATGTTTCAGTGCTGTCACTAAGCCCATAATGAGGCCCCCATCATCTGGTGCAAGCCATGGTAAAAAGGAAAGAAGCGGCAAAGGGGTGTCTGTGTGCTCACTATAGCATTAAAGGCAGGCACTTTGCTGCATTAAGAACATTCTACTTTGTTTTAAGATGGCCAGGTGGCAGTGTCAGGTTTGCATCTCCTTCCAGAAAGTAAAGCAGCTTGCATTCCCTCCGAGTGCCCAAACTCCAGGCAAAGTTAGAATTGTTGTTCAGGATAGAAGAGAACCTCTGCTGTGGATGAGTGCGACAGAGTAGGGCTTTAGCTGTCGCTGCAGGCAAGTTCCTGATGGAAGAATCTGCCACCACTGCACTGATGTGGAGATAGTGACACCAGAAACCTGCACCTGTGTGTGCATATATATGTTTATGTGTGTGTACAAACATATATGCATGTGAGTGTGTGCATGCATATGTGCACACATATTTATGGGTGCATATATGTGTGCTTATTACACATGTATGTGCGTGTGCACAGGTGTGTTTGTGTGCAGGCATGTGTGTACAGGCATGTGTGTACATGTGTAGGGGTGTGTGCAGGCATGTGCATACCTTCATATGTGGGCAGTAAAAGACAAGTGGCAGAAGCCTGGCGTGGCACCATAACAGTCAAGCCCTGTCCCTAATGGATTTTTCCTCATGCACAGGGGGCTCTAGACATGTGCTTGTGCTTGATATTAAGTCACCATTACTCCGCAGCACTGAATTCAGGGCTATTTTCCACATTCACCCTAAGCAGAGCTCAGACAAGTTCTAAGTAGAAATATCAGTGGGTAAGATATGCCACAGTTCTATTCTCCCCTATTCCTCATCCCCAAATATTATTCTCCCCAACATTTCTGATCTCAGAATCTCAGTCACCTGGCACTAGATTTTCTGCACTTTCCATGGCTGAGCCCTCTAATCTGAGACATAGGCCCATAGCACTGTGACCAGGAAGCTCGTCTTAGAGCCCACCTCTAGCTCCTCTGCCCTTCCCCTCTCCATGAGATGTTTTGTGGCTGGCCTGCGCACCTTTTATGTCTAGTCAAAGTGAGTGGCCTCAACCAATGCTGGCATTTGTAGGCCAGAAAACAGTAGCAGAGTTGCTGTGCTGTCTGGTGGGTAGGAAGACCATTGAGGATGGGTCCCTCAAATCCCACCATCAAGATGGCTCACCAATCAAAGCTGACACAGCTGGCCAGGACTGCCTGACTTCATGGTAATTTTGATCTTTCAGGCAAAGAAGGGGAACTACGCCTTCCTGTGGGATGTGGCCGTGGTGGAATACGCAGCCCTGACGGATGACGACTGCTCGGTGACTGTCATCGGCAACAGCATCAGCAGCAAGGGTTACGGGATTGCCCTGCAGCATGGCAGCCCCTACAGGGACCTCTTCTCCCAGAGGTAGGCTTGGGCAGCAAGGTAACTACCGCTGCCTCAGGACTCTAGTGGTCAAGGGTAGGAGAATAACCTCTTAGAAGATAAGAGCCAATGCAAACATCTTTGTTCGTCATATTTTCCCAAGCACATACTATGTCCCACTGCTTCCTCCTCCCCTACCCTCAGACCCTGTGGAAGTATATGGTCCCTGCCAGGAAGGCTCAGAGTCTCTGTGGGATCTCTGATAGGAGCAGGTAATGCCAGCCTAGGGCATATTAGCACATGGCAAGGACGTCTTCAGGATGCTAGGGTAGAGGCAGGGAGAAAACGGCATCTCACCAGACCCAGGATATCTGGGAGAACTTCCCAGAGGAGGGGACACCCCTGAAGCTGGAAGAATGAGGAGGAGTTAGCCAGAAAAATGAATAATTAGCAGGATCTGATAAGGGCCTACTAATCACTTTTAAAGAGAAATGTACCTGTAATGTGGCAGTAGTCAATGTGGAGACTTTAAAAAAGTAGAGTCAGAGAAGCAGAATGTCTCCATATTTATTTGCACGTGGCTGTATGGGGCCTCTGATTGTAGGGCAGAACTTTCCTGGTCCAAGGAGATGCTGTCTGCTGGGGCAGGGAAGGGATGTGGCCTTAGCCAGGAAGGGTGGAAGTGGGGCATGGGTAGTTCAGTGGCCTTTGTCCAGTAGTCAGCCTGCAAACAGGGGCTCCTGTCGCCAAGGTGTCTAAGCCTTGGGCCATCTTCTTGCACATATCTGTGAAGGGCATTTTGCTGGGTGAAGGGATGAATCTGCAGAGCCTAGTGCAGAAGCCCTGGGGCAGGCTCTGCCAGAGTCCACCCAAATCCAAAATGAGGCAGAAGCATCTGAATGGAAAGGCTGGCATCGTGCCAGGCTCAGGGGCAACACTCATTGACTGATTAATGCATGAATTTCAGTACTAAGGAACTTCTATTTGGAGACGTGAGAGTCCTCATAAACCATTTCTTTAACATCCTGCAGTTCAGAGGGCAACTAGGATATCTGGGTTGCTGAGCCAGCTGCTGGCAGAGCTGGGAGTAGAATCCAGGTCTCTTGAGCCCTAGTGCTATGCCCATGTGGCTGCTGGATCTCCAAGCACCACGACCTCCCTTCTCTCACACTCTAGATGTCCAGATTGTGCCCTTCTGCTCATGAGTACCTGGACCTCAGCCCCACCAAGGGAAGGCTGAGGAGGAGGGCCTGCAACCAGTCCATTCAGTGGCTTCTTTGCAAAACTAAGGAAAAGAGTAGGGCTAATTAAGGTAAATGAGGCTTTTGGGTTTTCCCTTAAATTTAATCAAGTATACATTCTTTTCCTCCCTCTGCTCTCTGGAGCAGAGAGAGATGACAAGAGGGAAGGAGGAGTAGTGATTTATCAATTGCTCAGATTAAATGCATGAAGAAAGAATGGCTTCTCTCCAGGATTTATAACACGTTGGTGTTCTTGAGGTTCGCACCAGTTGGTTTTCCGAAATGGGAGGCTCAGGATGATTCCACAGACCATCAACCTCTGAGCATCTCTCTAGAACAGATGGTAAGAGAGCCCATGGGGCCAACACAGCAGCAGCACCAAGACTGCTCATGTACCCCAAGGCAGCGCTCATGGAAGCACAGGGGCCCCAGCGAGGAAAGGTTAGAGTCCCCGTGTGCTCACACTGCTCAGATGGCTCCTGAGAGTCTGCTGAAGTGAACACTGACACACTGGAGAGAAGAGGCAGCAGACATTAGTCCAGGAACCCGGGTCTTGGCTGGACTGCTGAATGGAGTCAGAGCAGAGGGGGCTCCCATTAGGTCAGAGCAGAACCTGAGAATACTCAACCTGGAGAAGGTGGAGATGAGTGGGGAGGGGTGTGGCTGCCCACCTCCAATATCGTAAGCCTTGCTGGGGGCAGAAGGAGTGAGATGTCCTTTGTGTGGCTTCAGAGGACCAGGGCCAGGGCCAACATGGGGTGTGTGTTTCCAGAGACCAGGCTTTCTGAAACAGGCCTGCCCACTACCTGTCCACTCACTGACCGTGAGGTCCCTGTGTGAAACCTCCCAACAGAGACCCCATGGGTTGCTCTCCTGACTCCAATAGTCACCATAATCAAATGTGGCTAGTCCAGTTTCCATGTCATTTTGGCAAGTAGTGATTGATTACTATTTGCTTTCATCAGAAGGCATGTGCTCTGTGATTATAAGGAAATGTCACCAGTGGCCTGTGCTGGCTTCCCACAGTTTCCTCATCTTCCTGTAGGGTACAGTTCCTCCTGGGCTGGAATTATCCCTTGAGTGGGGACACTCAGACCTCAGGTTGCCAACTTACTGATGCCAGTGGTTCTTTAAAAGGTTCTGTTGGGCTGGGTGCAGTGGCTCCCAGCACTTTGGGAGGCTGAGGCGGGCAGATCACGTGAGGCCAGGAGTTCAAGACCAGCCAGACCAACATAGCAAAACCCTGTCTCTACTAAAAATGCAAAAAATTAGGTGGATGTGGTGGCACACATTTGTAATCCCAGCTACTTGGGAGGCTGAGGCATGAAAATTGCTTGAACCCAGGAGGTGGAGATTGCAGTGAGCTGAGATCATGTCACTGCACTCTAGCCTGTGTGACAAAACGTGACCCTGTTCTCAAAAAAAATAAAAGGGGGGGGGGGCTTTGTTGTATGGTGCATGCAGAACTGTGAGCTGCCTCTAGCTTCAGAGGAATGAAGGGATAGGTCCTGAGAGCAATGCCTGATGCCATTTGCAGAAAACAGGTTCTAGTATAAATGACAGGTCCCAGCCTTATGTGGAACTGCTATAACTGTCTTCCCCTTCATCCTGGGAACTAAACTATTTCCTTCAATAAAGATATGCTCCTTTGCTTTGGCAGAGGACAGGATGTAGATGTATGTGTGTGTGTGGTAGGGCTTATGTGCTATAAACAGGCTTGCAGACCACAGCATGCAGTTGGGGCATTCAATAAATGTTTAGCAACTTAATAGCCATTTATTGAGCACCTACTGTGTAGCAGGCTCCACAGCTATTGAATGAAAAAAAGCACCTGCAATTATATCTGTCTGGAAAATAGAACAACTGGCTTCAGGAAGTGGCTATTATCCCTCTGGCTTCCTCGTAAGCGAGAGTATGGATTATTATGGTGTGCATTAGTTTAGCCTCATTTTCAAAGTCATTTTGTACCCGTGACTTGTTTTAGCTTTCCTCTGTCCCTTCCATACTTAAATTTCCTTTGTTTGTTTAGGTTTTTTGTTTTATGTTATGCTTTCGTATAAATTGCCTTACTATCATTCTGGGATAAGATTGGGTATAAAAAATGCATACAATTATAGGGAGCAGGAAGAAGAGAAGGTCAGCAAAATTAAGCAACTTGCCTGACATTGCACAGGATCTGCCTAATGAGCGGAGGAGTGGGGATCTGACCCCACAACCACCATCTGGCCAGAGCCTCACCATCCCCTGGGCCAGAAGCTGGCCCCGGAAGAACAGCCTGCTGTTCTGGAAAGAGCATGGCCTCCTGGGTCAGAATGACCCAGCTCTGATGAGCAGCATCACCACTTTCTAATTACAACAGTGGGCAAGTCATCTAGATTCTGAGCTTTAGGTCTTTGAGATGTAAAATAGACATAATAAGAACCACTTTGCAGGCTGTTATGAGGATTCAAACAGTGTAATATGATCAGCTCCTACTGTGTTCTCTATAAAAGGTCGCTCATGTCAGTGCTGGCAGGATAAGGCTACTGGTCAATGTGGCCATCAGGCTGACAACTACTAACCAGCTTTTATGGAGCTCTGATTACTGGCTGGATCTCGAGCTAACGGTCTGTATGTGTTCCCTCTTCTCATTTTGTCGCAATATCCTGTGAGGTAGGTACATTTATTATAACCTCAGGCTTTAGTGATGAGAGAGCTAAATTTGAGAGGCTCCAAGCCTGGATTTGAATGGATATCCATGAACACGAAGCTCTACTGTCTATCCATAGCTAGCTAGTTTTTCAACTGCTGACATCCTCAAAGGCCCTGAGGTCCTGCCTATCTGTCCCTGAGGTTCCTGCAACTGCCAGGAGGCTCAGCCTCCTCACCCCTACCAGCAGAGACTTATTAAGGCCAGTGAACAGGCAGACATGTAGCCACGGAGTTGGCCCGACATGATCCATATGAGGTGGTGCAACACTGCGGCTGTCCAGTTCACCATGTGGTGTGCCATGAGAGAGGTCTGTAGTGTTCTGGGGCAATCTAAGCATGACCCCAAACCATATAAATGCACATGTATCTTAACAACTAAGTCACTGAATGCACAGCCACATTCTGTGTCTTACATGCTGATCAGTGCCCTAAGCACTTAAAGGACATTATATCAATATCTAACCACAGCCATCTTAGTCAAGTTTTCATTACTCATTAGTACATTCACACATTTATTGACACAACAGACAGCCTTAGTGGTACCAGCCACTGTGCTTGCTCAGGGAAAACAGAGTAACCCACAGCTCCTGTCCTGAAGGGTCTGCTCATCTAAGTGGCGGTCAACAGTTTATGTTGCAAAGATGAGAACACTGATCTTTAGTAGGAGCAAGTCCCTGGTCCAGGTGAGGTCTGGTGCCTCCAAAGCCAATCTTTGCACTGAGCCAGGCCATTCCCAGCCATCAGGAGGCCATGCTGTACTGGACCCATGATGCTGACACATCTTGGGACCCCCTCAGGGTTGTGGCTCTTGTCTCCACCAGACACAAGCCCATGTGTGGGAATTGAGCAAGACCTCATGTTTGTGGTCACAGCTGACCTGGAATGCAGGTCCAGGGTAGAGATCACACAACTGTCCAGTGGGCAGTGAATTTTTCCTGGCTATAAACAACTGTTGCTCTCTAACGACACATACCCAGAGAACTCAGAGGGACCTCTACTGATGATATCAGTCGAAAATATCACCATGGATCAGGCTTAAAGAGCTCCACTCCCCAATGAAAGCTTGGGTGTTTGGGGTCTGGGTACTACCAGCTACCACTGGCTCTCTGTTAAGACTTCTGGGTTACAGACAAAATACCACAACCAAAGAAAACCACAATGGGGAGTATAGAAGCAGCATGGGTTGTCCCACCATTGCACACATGATGAAATCGAAACTGCCTCTCATGCCCCCTCAGAGCCTGTGTTCTGGGCTCTGCCTTCTTCCCTGTCCTCACCTAATGCCTGCTCCCATATCACCCAATAGTCTCACTGGCCATTTTTCTGCTTCTTAAATGTGCTAAGTGCTACCCCAGACATGACTTTCACATGGGGTTTTAGTCTTAGGAAGTTTCTTCCTCCCCCAAGTTGAAAGCCAACCCTGGCAGCCTCATAATGACTTTTGGCAAGACATTTCACCTCTCTGTGCCTTGATTTCCTTCTCTGTAAAATGGGAAAATAGGAATAACCATCTCAAAGGACTGGCATGCAAATGAGGATTCAACACTATTTGCCAAGCATGGAGGATACTCCTTGGCACTAGAACATGCTAGACCCATGTGAGCTGTTTTATAATTAGTCATCCTTCAAGCTTCCCCTTACATGTTAGCTCCTTAGTGAGGGTTTCTCTAGTCCTCCAGTGGACAGCACTCACCATGTGGTGTTTCCTGGAACCTCTACTTTGATTCATTTTTTTAAATCACAGCTCTGCCTGCACTTTGATTGAGCTAATTTTTTTAGGGTCAGTGATTGTATCTCTAGACCATAAGCTTAGTAGTGCTGAACATCATACTAGGCAAAGCACAGAAGATCCTCAAATCAAATGACTGTAAGAATAATTTGGTGAATCCCAGTGGGAGAGACTTAGGATATAGTAATGAAAGCTCAAAAGAAAGCATTTTCATGATCAGGAATATCCTAAATCCACAACCTAAATGTTTGCCTCTTTCATGTCTATTTCCTAGTTTTATCTTGAGCTCTTGCCACAGAATCCATGTAATGGGCCTTATGTGATTTGCTGTTAGACTTTATCCTTGGGCAGTGGAATAGGGTGGGAGAGGGCAGAGGGGCTGTTGGGGAGGGGAGTGACAAAACCTAATGTGCGTTTTGGGAATAACACTTTACCTGCAGTGTGGAGAGTAGACTGGGAAGAGAAGAGCTAAGGCAGAAAGCTGCTAGGATGGCTCAATGTTGTCTGTGGTGGGGCCAGCATGGTGGGGCAGGGGCCAGGGCCCCGGTGGCTGAGTTGATGACGTCAGTGGCTATAGCTCACCTTGATTGTGTCTTACAGGATCCTGGAGCTGCAGGACACAGGGGACCTGGATGTGCTGAAGCAGAAGTGGTGGCCGCACATGGGCCGCTGTGACCTCACCAGCCATGCCAGCGCCCAGGCCGACGGCAAATCCCTCAAGCTGCACAGCTTCGCCGGGGTCTTCTGCATCCTGGCCATTGGCCTGCTCCTGGCCTGCCTGGTGGCTGCCCTGGAGTTGTGGTGGAACAGCAACCGGTGCCACCAGGAGACCCCCAAGGAGGTCAGCACCCTGGGGCCTGCCCTCCCTTTCACAGCCTAGAGGCAGGAGTGTCACACTGGGCCATTGGGAGGGCAGGTTGTTTCTAGTTAGTATTTACCTGAGTCATCTTGTCTGGAGGCAGCAGTGTTTTATATTGGGGGATTTTGTTATTGTTTTATTTTGTTTTTAAAACTAGAGAAGAAATGTAGGGGATGTTTTCATGCTTGAACAAAGTGCTGCAGTACCAGCCTTAGCCACTAAAGTCCTGTATTTATCTATAGAGCAGGTACAGCGTGGGCAGCGCCAGAGAGCCCTTCCCTACCCTGCCCCGCCCATGTGCCTCCACCCTGACCTGGAGAGACCACCTGTAGGGTAAGAGAGGAGCCCATTCCTTCCTGATTCTCTTTTACTTCTCACCAAGGGACACAGGGCGCTGCTCTCCCAGCGCATCAGGGGATCCCTGTCCCTCCCAGCACTCCTTTCTCCCTATATTCCTCCTGCTTGCAGGGCCCAGCCTTGCCCCTGTCCCTCCTGGGTGCACCCAGCCTGGGGGACACTAGCTCTGTCCACACTCCGGGTTCTGGGCACACATTTCTCCCCATGTGTGCCAACTGCAAACTGATTCTGCCCCTCCACACTTCCTTCTTACTGGGTTTGTGTTCTGCAAGCTCTTTTTTAAATTTTTTTTTTTTTCTGAAATAAAGCCTTCACCAAGGTCCCCCGGAGACCTTTGCCCTACGGAAGGGTGGAAAGTAGTGTCATTTGGTGGTGATGCTTTGCCAGCAGAAACTCCACATGCCCAGCCACACCATCCGTGGGGCTGTCACTCTCTGCCACATAGACCTCAGCTATGTCTAGAACCACAGCTCTGCTTAGAGACTCTGTGGGTGCAGATGGATATAAACCTCAAACAGGAAGTGGTAAAGCAACCTGCATCAAACCCAAAAGCACTTCTGTTTTGTTTTGTTTTTTGTCTGTTTTTGTTTTTACTGGAGGCTCAGATAGTACAGGGCAGTTCATTAAATGGTTTCAGAGGTAGAAGGTCCAAGGGGCACAAAAAATAAACTGGGACAGGAAAGAAAAACAGCCAGGAGGAGGTAAGAGCCGGCGGGCTCTTCTCAGACTGATTTGGGGAAGGGATTTGGCACCTCTGGACAGCAAGGCTGGGTCCACCATGTGTGTGGCCTGGGTGTCTGGCCACATCGCACCCTCCATTCATTGGTCCATAAGGGCATTCCTGGCAGGTCAGGGGTGAGGACAGGGGTGGGCGTCCCTCGCTCCTTACAGGACTCTGCATTATACCAGGTAGTGAGCTCTCTGTCCTTATGCTGTCTCTTCCCTGGAAGGACACTGCTTAACTCAGTACATCTGCAATGTTCGGGGATATCTGTCTTCCTCTCTGGCCTTCTGTGTATCTCCATGTAAGGGAATGTGAAGCTGGGGCCAGCTGCAGCCTCAGTGGCTGTCCTATCACCCCTGGAGCTCAGAAGGGAAGGAAGACAGACCTTTGAGGAAAAGGCCCTGAAAGGAATAGTTGATGGTTCTGTCCCAAGCTTCTTTGGCTACTGGAAAATTTTGTATAAAGAAGTCAGTGGGAGGGACAGTGAATTATTCTGACTAGCAGTTGTAAGGAAGGGCTACACATATCTGACCTCTCCTCATCATGTCAGCCCCTCCACGCCATGACCAGTGTGCACCCTTCACCTGCTTGTTACCACCCAGGTCTCTATGCACAGAAGCATCAGTAGGCAGCTGTGATGGGGTGGCCCCAAAGCCACCCCCAGTAGAACCAAGAAGGATGAGAAGGATGGGAAAGACCAGGCCCCCAAATTGGCACACGTTGCACCCGCTCCGTGTTGTTTGTTTTGGATTTTGCTTGTTTTCCCTAAGTCTTCAACCTGGTTTCCTCTGTGCAAAGGCCCCTTGTGTCAGCGGAGCAGGGGAGGGTCTCCAGGTGGATGAAAATTGCACTGTCAGGAATTTGTCTTCCTGGGCAGCTGTGGGCAAGGGTGGGGGCCTGGAGACACAGGTTCAGGCTCAGCCCCAGCCTCTAGCCTATCATCTGTGAGCCACATGCAGGGAGAGCTTGTCCTTTGGATGGGAAGTCATTGTCTGCTTTTAGCTTTGTCCCTTCACAATGCCTAGTTTAGTGACGGTTTGGACAATTTCAGCCTGGACCACCCACAGTTAATTGTTGTGGTCTATGTGTGTGAGAGAGACAGAGAAAGAGAGAGAGAGACTGGTGATTGTTAAAGAGACATAGATAGGAAGACAGAAAAGAAAAGAGAAAAAAATGGAGAGACCAGGAGACCAAGGGATAACCTAGCTGTGAGGAACAGCTCCTTTCTTGCCGGTAAAACATCCTACCTTTTATTCTGGCTTCTGCATAAGTCCAGGATCTCAGTTATGAAATGATGAATACATTAGCCCTGCTTCCAGAATGTGGGACTTCCTGCCCCTGTTGCCAACCTGCTTCCAGATAGGAATGAGGACACATGGAGAGAGGCAGGTTGGAAAAGCACAGCAGCTGCCTGTCCTCCAACCCCTTCTGGTGTTGCTAAGAAGGGTTGCATGGAAATGTTCCATCTTTTTCATATTTTTATGGGTTTCCAAATTTCAAATGCAATGTCTCCCTTCCTTCTTCCCTCTCTCCCTTTCTTCCTTTAATAAGCCTGCCTATAGAGACCTGGCCCCTGCCTTCAGGGAGCTTACTTCCTCATGCACAGATGTGGCAGAGAGCTGGGCCCAGCAGTCTCCACTCATTGAGCAGGCTGTACTGCAGTGATCAGCAGGTATCACAAAAGCACCGAGGACATCCAGCCCAGCCAGGGCATGGTGGGGTCAGAGGGGTTAGGGGTGCTGGTTATTGAAGACTACTTGGGGCTCAGAGCTGTTAGAACTGAGCTTTGAAGCATTGATACAAACCCTGGTACTAAAGATGAGATAGGAAGTTGCATTTTGGGCAGGGTGAACAGCTGGAGGTGAACAAAGTCATCATACCTCCTGGAGCTCAAGGGCTGAAGTGTCAACGTGAGGAAGGAGATGCTGGCAGGGGAGGCTGGGGAAGGATACGGGGCCTGCTCCGAAGGACTTAAATGCCAGACTGAGAGGTTTTGACTTTATCATGCAGGGAATAGGCAGGAAACGGCTCAAAACGACAGTCTTTTAGAAGCATATTCTTAAAACCTTCAAAAAATAATGATGGTATTTAATCCGGAACTACTTTGTGCTACTGGTTGCCTGTGTTTTATGGGGCAGCATTTGCAATTAGGTGAGAGTGTCTGGTTAATCTTTGAATGTTTCATTTTGAGGCATTGGCCATATTTCTTAAGAGCCAGAAACCTGTCTTTGGGTGGAGCCCAAGTTGTGCTTAATGGCTTGCTCTAGGATGTCGTCACAGTTTAGACACTTACTTGAAGAAGAGTAGTAATGTGCTTTCAACCCCTTAATATTCATGTAGATTTCAGCTCATATTTTTTCTAAGGAATCAGACGATTATGTAGTTACCCAATGCAGGTGAATGCACCAAACTCCATGGATGCAGTAAAGAGCCACTCGCTAGATTTATGGGGGATGTGGAGCCATTGCTCTGAGAATAAAATATTCATGAAATAAAGATGAGAACTGCACAAATGGGAGACGACATGAGGAGTGAGGGATGAGTCATCCATCACTGGGCTCAGAGTTTGGAATTCTTGTTGCTTTCTGCCTTGCCTGCCCTCCCCTGGCCCGGTTTCCATCGCACACAGGAGCTGGCTGAGGCCAGGGTGGCCGGGCAGCAGGGGACAGAGAAGCAGATGGCCCCTCTGTTCTGGCTGTGGGCAGCCTCTGTCTGCATGCCCCAACCCACTGTGAAAGATTAGATCCCAGGGGCCCTCACTTCTTCAACTCCACACCCTTTCTTGCCTCCACTCCTTTGATGTCTTCTTCAACTGCATGTAAAGAGTTTGCCAGTCTGCACATTTTTCTTCTTCATTTATGCCAACCCACAGCGTTGCACTGAGGATTCAACAAGGGAAGGCATATAAAGTGAATTAAAGATGTGCCTGGCCCAGAGACACGCTTGGTTGTTGGTGGCCAAGGGGCTACTCTATCCAAAGGTCCTGGGCTAGGCAATGAGGAATATGGGAGAGACAAGTGACACCTTAGGGCTCCTTTCCTGTGCTGAGCAATCTTGTTAGCCCTCTTCAGTAGTTGAAGAAGGCATCCTTATCCCTGATGAAATCCCTCTCAGAAGTGAGAAGGGTAGAGATGGGATGTGAATGATGTGTCTACCTCTGTACCCCTGCTGCCTCCCAGGCGCAAGCTTGTCAAAAGGCCAGGGCACTGTCCTTTCCTCTGGGTATGTGCATGAGCCCATTGGGTTCCGAGGTAGCATTTTCCAGAGGACTTGGGAGTGAAGGTTGTGACTCAGTGCTCTACCCAGGGCCAGGCTCCTGGATCCTGGCTTCTGGCTACACATTTACATTATCTGAACCTCAGTCTCTCCCTTCTGCTGGAAACAGCCTGGCCTGAGAACTATGCTCAGGAGCAAATGGCTTAGCATGAGAGTAAGAATAGTGAGTGTGCATGTTTCAGCCCACGGCCTCCAGTGAGAAGCCATGGAACATTTACCATACACCGCTGTGTATCTCAAAACCAGATCACTTGGCAAAGCCTCCCCTGCTTGCTGCCACCACTAGCAGCCCCCCTTGCTGGGTATGCTCCACATTGCCAGTAATGGTTTACCTGCCTGTCTCTGCTTCAGATCCACCAGTGCCTCCTCACCTCTGCATTGCCATCAATGTGCCTTCTCTCTGGAACAGTGGAAGCTCTTATTAAGGGGTGATGAATATAATTCAAGTATTGAGCACTTTCTATGTGCCAGGGACCAAGATAGATGCTTTACCAAGAACATTAGCTCATCTGGTAGTAGGAGCTCAAACACGTTTATTGAATGAATGAACTAGTCAAGACTCCCGTAAAGAAGACATTACTAATGTTAAATTGTTGTGTAATCATTGCACCTGGATCAATGGCTTTTAATTCTGGCTGCATGTCAGAGGTGATTAATTCTGGGGCTTTTTAGAAATACAGATGCTTGGGCCCTGTTTCCCAAAGGGTCATATTAGGGAGATCTGGACTGCCATAATTTCTAAAATCTCCACCTGTGCTTCTGATATCCAGCCAAGGATGAAAACCACTGATTTATGCCAACATTCCAAGGTAAGGAGCTACGGGGGTAATGAAATTTGAGTAGAATGAAGTCTCACTGGTATGGGGAGGATGAATTTCTTGACACACTGGTGTCATGGAAAAGAGCCCAGGTTTTGGGCTGGGTGTAGTGGCGCATGCCTATAATCCCAGCACTTTGGGAAGCCAAGGCAGAATTGCTTGAAGCCAGGAGTTGGAGACCAGCTTGGGCAAAAAAAGCTAGACCCCAGTCTCTACAATTTTTTTTTAATTAGCCAGGTGAGATGGTATGTGACTGTAGTCCGAGCTACTCAGGAGGCTGAGGCAAGAGGATTGCTTGAGCCCAGGAGTTCAAGGCTGCAGTGAGCCGAGATTGGGCCACTGCACTCTAGCCTGGGTGACAGAGGGAGACCCTGTCTCAAACAAACAAACAAAAAAAAAAAAAAAAGGAAAAGGAAAGAGCCCAGGTTTGGGAACCTGGTAGATGTGAGTTCTCGTCCTGACCTTCCACTTACTGTGGAATTGCCTGAGCTTCAGCAAGCTGCCTTACCCCTAGCCTCAGTCATTCCTCGGTGCACCTGCTGCTACCACCCACGATGTGAAGTCATTGTCGGTTCGCTCTCATTGCCCTCCCTAAAACATCTGCTATTGAACTGATCAGAACTCTTTCTCCTGATGCTTTGAAAAACTGCCCACCATCTCCTGAGACCATTTCACTTACGTACTTGAGCTCCTTTGTCCTTACCCAGCCAATACTCTCAGACCCCTAGCCCGGCCCGTTGGGGTTGGGTAAGTCTTGGGAACAACACTGAAGATTGTGTTGGTAGCATTTCTCCCAGCCCTTGGGTCCCATTTAGCACCTGATTGGTGTCAGTGGTAATAGGATAATGCCACCAACAGCCAGCTCAGTCAGGGGGAAGTTCCTCATCCCCATTTTTGTTCCTGCCCAACTTACAATAAGAGCTGTTGGACTCCAAGCAAAGTCTGTTCTAAGGAGTCCCATGTGTAACAGGCTGTTACAAAGATGATAGTTTAGTTAATTACCGTTTTCCAATACACTGTATTATTTCCACATTGGTGAACAGCAGCTTAATTACAGAACTTTATCTCTGCAAGACAATGCCTGGGAGAGGTTCCCCAGTAACCTCTGTTGGTGCATCTGTCGTCATGTTTAATATGGGATGAGAAACGCAGAGCTGGAATTCAGCCGGATTCACGGGTAAACACAGTCTGTGAATTTTATATCATATTCAGGGATGTTTGACTAGGTCAGTTACCTACAGTAAATTAATGAAGATAGCAGTAAGTTTCCAAGTCTGTTTTCACAGCTGTCATTACCTGGCCGAATACCGAAACCTTGGGATAATGAGGATGTAAACGGATGTAGTTCACATAAAAAAGCCCATTATTTGAATTTGCATAACATAATAGAATGCAGTATTTTGTCTAAAAGATAGATAATTATTCAAATCACTCCTGCCTCTTTCCTTGAGTAGGCTGATTACTCCTGTCTCCTCTTTCCTTGGCTGGAGACACAGAAGGAACAGACAGACATGACTTTATGAGTGCTAAATCTATGACCCCAGGTAATACAAGCAGACCATGCTTCCAAGGTTTCCAAACCAGGCGGTCTGTCCTGCGCACCTCAGCTCTGGCTCCCACAGACAGCAGCAGGAGCAGGCGACTTAAAGGACACATTGTGAGACACAGCAAATGGCTGCGTTTGTTTTCCAGGAAAGATAGGAGTCATTTGCTGCAGTTATACACATTTTCTTATTCAGTTAAATAACCAAAATAAGAGACTTGAGATGGCACCCTCATCTCCTAGGGTTTGTCCTCGTGTTGGAGCTATTGGGAATTGATGGAATTTGAGTAGAATGAAGTCCCACTGATGTGAAGAGGATGGATTTCTTAATAAGCAGTTGGGAAGGAAACCCCCTGGAACGTTTGTCCATTTGGTGTAGACACTTTCTGTGTGTCTTGACACGGAGACTTTAAAGGCGAATGATAACTGCAGTAGGGAGTTGGTTCCCGCTGCGCAGCTTTGCAGTCCTTAGAACTGCTTCATCCATACTTGATTTGAGACAAGCAAAAAAAAATGTGAGTAAAATAAACTTAGTCAAGCTCTTTCTTCAGAAATAATAGACTGGCAGAGAACTAGTTATCTCCACATTCAGTCTGAGGGCTGGCCTTGATTCTAAATGCTCCATTATTACCGGATCCACTCCCCACCACCACGTTTACTATTCCAGCTTGGCACTTGACAATCCACCATGCTCCAGTGTTCTCTCACTTGCACTTCAGTGGTGAAGTCATCCAGCTCAGAGACTTCCCTCACTTACATCTTCCTTCAGAGAATTTTGGCTGGTCTGTCTTCCCCGAAGCTCCCATGTTTGTTTCCCTGGCATTAAATAGAGAGAGTTCTTTCACCTTGTCCCTTACTTCCAACCTCCTACCTCCCTGTGGCTTTCTTCTTGGACAGGAAGTTAAGCTTTCCCTCTCTCCAAACTCTAACAAAATGGGAGCATCTCCTGAACACCCTGGGCTAGTGCTCAATTGACTGAGAAAAAAGGCCAGGCCCTCTATCAACTGCCAGAATCCAGAGTTGAGCAGCCCTGGAACCTAGACACCTGCTTCCCACTTTAATTGAGTCCACTCAAACTTTCTTTCTTTTCATCTTCAAAGGGGTCCTTAAAGTCCTGAAGGGAAATTAGAAAAGAGGATAAGGGAAGATTATGCAACTGATTAATTACTAACTAGTTCTTCCAATGGTCCCAGGTCATCAGTTTCCCTTCCGTGGAAATGAAAGTCTTTGACAGTGAGGGTGACCAGCTTGTTCAGGCTTCTCCAAGCTTTGCTAGCTGCAAAGAAGAGAGAAGGTTATCTTATTAAACCCTAAAAGTACCTGAATTTCTTTCTCAACTACTTCAGCTTCCAGACTCCCTGGTACTTGTTTTGTGCCCTTCATACATTTTGAAATGAACATGCCTTATAGATACAAATATTCGCCAAAACGATTGTAGCACTGATTCTGGCTAATACAGATGACACTGTATCCACAGTTTAACAGGAGCTCATAGCAGCCCCAAGAATGCTAGAGATGCAGGCTTGATGCTGGGCAAGAGTCAGGGCTTGTCTGGAGGCCCAGAACACTAGGAGGATGGCTGTGGAAAAGAAAGTTTGGCAGAGTCCCACTGCTGCAGCAGATGAAGCACCTGCTGCTTTCTGTCTCTCTGTCTCTTTGTTCCGGATTCAGCTTCAGTCTTACTGTCCTTATTTGGATCATGGTCCTGTCTCTTCGTTAGGTAACCTGTCTCTTGATAGTCTGTCAAACTGTTATCCGGTGGGGATAGTAACTCCCTAAAAGCAATAAACCATAGACTTCCTTGGGAAAAGATCATTGATGCTGAGTGGCGCTAAGCCACTAACACACTGTATAACGGTTATAAAATATTCCTAAAGTAGTCTTACATGCAAAAATGAAAACAAAGCAAATAAAATAGAATACACAAAAAGTAGCAAAGTTGAACAGAACTGGCTCCACCATGGTGTAAGGTAATTAGGAAAATAACTTGAATTTGGTTTGCTCTATATTTTACAAACCTTTGAAGGAGTCAGCATAAACATTTCATGAATAATTTAGCTGGGACAAGTAGAAGCCTGGCATTCTCCAGCCAGTTCCCACAATTTCCCGACGACACTTGCCATGCAGAGGTGACCCTAACTCAGAGATGGTCTCCCAGCACGAATGAGCTGAGCTCTGCTTGTGTGGGTGGGCTTCAGATCACTGAAGTTGTGACTGTGCCTGTGAGGCTGTGCCAATGGTTTCTGATGTCATTTTCACCTATGACAGCGAGCCACATCCCATAGCATCCTCTATTCTCAAACTAGTTGGCTGTCTTGATTTCCTCCTGCCCTGGAATGACTTGTCAGTTGTCCTATGGGTGTTGTCAGTTTTCTTGTCCTGGGAAAGATTCTAGGACTGACAGCAGGTGTCTCATCAGAAGCCAAACCATGTGTGCCAACCATGAACTCATAAAGGTGCGGAGAGAGCAGTGGTCCCACCTTCTATATGCCAGGGGACATTGAGGCAAGGAGTGAACTGCAGAGCACTTCACCTCCTTGCTTGAGGAACACTGAGTTGACCCTTTGTGGGGGTTAGCCCTGTGATTCATGCACTCATCTGGTCAGGGCTCATGCCTATCATTCAGTTGAACTTCTGGGGGTGGAAATCCTCTCCCACTGTCCCCACAGAAGCTCAAAGCAGTCACTGGAATGGCTCTTAGATTCATGTGATTCCTTCTTTTTCCTTCTGAAGGCATATTCAGGGCTTCTACATTTCTTAATATTTCTAACTCCCCTGCAAGGTGGACAGGGGATGGGTTCCTTTCTCCAATACAAGATGCCAACATGAGACCACCTGCAGGGTGGCCTGGGAGCTGAGCTTTGGGACTGTATTTCTCTAGGAGTTTGAGGTGAGGGAAAGGTCACCACATTCCCTGGCGCATCAGCACCCATGCTGCTTACAAAGTCCCTGCAGCCTCAACCTCACCGGGAAGCTCATATGGCTCCTCTGCTGAGCACCAGGTCCTGTGCCCACCTCACAGCGGGGAAGCCAAGGAAGGAGATGACGTCTTCCTTGAGCTTTCAGGCAGTTTGTCTGCCTTTAATTATTCTGACATTGTAGGGAAATCATCAAGTTATTTGAAAGGAACAATATTTGTTCTGTTTTGTTTTCTTTCTTAAGCAAATAAACAAGCCAAGTAATTTCCTGTGATATCACCCACTGTGGTGAGACAGTATCAGGTGTGAGATCACCCACTTAGATAGCCTTGAACCCTCATGAAACCAGGAGGGTCAGCTGACCCTGGGGAAGTCCCATTCCTCACAATCTCCACCCAGGAACCCACGCCCCCTTGCCCTTCCAGACAGGGATATGTCCCCCTCCTTGGGCTGCCTGAAGAGATTGCACAGGGAGGACACAGGTCACTGGGTGAGGCAGGGCTTCTCTCTGGCTCCAGGCCTCCAAGCTGCCTCTAACACTGATGGTCCTGTGACTCTGATGAATCATTGAACCTTCCTGAGCCTGAGCCTCCTTTTGTGCAAGGTGGGGATGATCATACAAAGTCTTTTCATCATCTTGAACTCTAAGTGGCAAATTCATGGGACACCTTAGGGGCTCAAGGACTATTTCCTTTATTCCTGTGGGACTTCTTCTCCTGTCTCTGCCTGCTCTTGAAAGCATCTTGTCCTAAGGGTTGGTTCTGGGTATGGCAGTGACTCTAAACTGAGTACAGAGGCAAGGCAGGATGCAGCCAAGGCCTGTTGATGGCATCTTCTTTGCTACATAGGGATCATGTCTCCCCCCTGGCTTCTCCAGATAACTGAGGGTTGGCCATATAATTGAGGGGAGGTGGGAGCCACATGAAAGGGATACTCGCCCACAGCCCAACAGGCTGACCAGGCCTGGTGACTACAGACATCCAGAGCTGTAGCAAGCCAGCCTTGACTCACTGTTAGGGCTCCACCTGACCTTCCTATGCCTTCCCTCCAGGACAAAGAAGTGAACTTGGAGCAGGTCCACCGGCGCATGAACAGCCTCATGGATGAAGACATTGCTCACAAGCAGATTTCCCCAGCGTCGATTGAGCTCTCGGCCCTGGAGATGGGGGGCCTGGCTCCCACCCAGACCTTGGAGCCGACACGGGAGTACCAGAACACCCAGCTCTCGGTCAGCACCTTTCTGCCAGAGCAGAGCAGCCATGGCACCAGCCGGACACTCTCATCAGGGCCCAGCAGCAACCTGCCGCTGCCGCTGAGCAGCTCGGCGACCATGCCCTCCATGCAGTGCAAACACAGGTCACCCAACGGGGGGCTGTTCCGGCAGAGCCCGGTGAAGACCCCCATCCCCATGTCCTTCCAGCCCGTGCCTGGAGGCGTCCTTCCAGAGGCTCTGGACACCTCCCACGGGACCTCCATCTGACTGCGCCGCCTGCCCTCCTGCCCACCCTCCCACCCACCCGACCAGCAGAGCTTTTTAATACAAGAAAACAACAACACAAACCACACACACTCGCACACACACACATACACAGAGACTCTTTCATTTTTCTTGTACATATGTGTAAATAATGACAGAATGGAGTGGGGTAAAAGTGTATTTTGAATATTCCCAATTTTCGAAGTCAGTAAAAAAACACAAAAACTGTATGAATGACTTTGTAAATTTTGTTCTATATGAATAAAAAGGCAAATTACTTGTGATCATTCTGAAGTGCCAAAGGAGCCCCCCCATTCCTGGGCCTTTCTGAGGGCAGGAGGGGCGACCAGATAAGGAGCCCCTCTCTGCTGGGGGAGAAGGGAAGACGAGGAACCCCACATGCCACTCGCTGCCTTGTCCCACAGCTTGCTGCCCCATTTCTTTGCTCCTGGCACCTCGTCCCTTTTAGTCCCTCAGCTTGATAAAGAGTGAGTTTGGAGCCCGCATTGGGCTGGCCCACTGGGTTGCTGTGCTGTAGGGTGATCGGCTGTTCTGGGTAGCCTGGGGCTGAGGAGGTGCCCTGGACTCAGGGCTATCCTGTCCTGTCTTGGATCTTGCGGGACGAGTTAGTCACCGCTGTGTGTGTTGCAGTGTGCCTCTGCCCCATGGGCCCGAGAGAAGCTGACAATTACCCATAGTGAGGTAATTGAGGGCTTTGATACTGAGCTGTTCTCATATCATACTGTTGGCCTTGTTTTTCATTTTCTTTTCAAAATTAGAAGAATCAAAAAGTGATAGAATATTGGGGGAAGGAGGGCAGACTCCATCGTTTCCTCAGGGAGACTGGGCGGAGGTGGGGTTGGTCTGGAAGAAGGTCCATGGGGGCAGGGAGTTGCGAGGTGGGGTTAGTTGCATGGACCAGGTGAGGTGGTGGAACAAAAGGCCAGGTAGAGGAAGAATATTCCCTTGGGTTTGGACCCATGGTCCCAGGTGAGAGAAGGAAGTGAGGCCATAGATGCAGGGAGTAGAAGCTTTGTGGTGTCAGGCAAACGGACTCTGTTAGTAAGAGTTGGGGGAGGTGCCCAGGTGGGTGGACCAGTACTCCAGGTGATGGGGCATGCTGAGAAATAGAGAAAAGAGACCATGTTTATTTGGGTAGGAGGAAGCCTTGCCTTGCGCCTTAGGTGAGAAGCATAAGTGTAACTCCCATCCACCAGGGAAGTTGCTTGTAGCCCCAAAAGTAAAGGCCTATCTCTGGGTCATAAATCCTGCAGGCAGTCCAACAAACAGGGCTGGCTCCAGCACAAACTCTCCCTTCCACCTTTACGACCCTCTCCAGACCAGACCTGGAGTCCTCTTCAAGCAGCAATCCAACCCAGAGCAGGGGCCCTCCCCACTCAGGCATCTGATAACCTCTGAGATTTCCAGGCCTATCCCTGTGCAGGTACAGCTGCAGGGAAGCCCAGTTTTCTAAGCCTAGGACCACCTAACAGCGCCCCCTCCTTCAGTTGCCCTTTCTGAGGCAACTAAACTACAGAATCAGGGAAAGAACCATTAGGAGTGGAACTGGGGGAATCTGAGTTGTGTCACTTCAGTTCCTCTCCTAAAGACAAAGGTTAGTCTGATCTCCAGACCCGTCAGAATGGAATACACAGCCCACATCTGTCACTGAAGGAGGTGGAGCTCCCACAGCCAGCAGTAATCAGGGAGCTGAGAGCCTGGTTCTGTGATCATGGAGAAATACAAAGTCCTATTGATTGCTTCTTCTATAGCCTTGTAGAGTTTCTAGAGAGATGTATTTATGAGGGTGATAACTAGCCCAGGATTGATTTCTTTCCTAAAGTCCCTAGTGACATGATTGAGCAGTAAAGAACGGCCAAATCACACAGTCAGCTAAAAGCACTGTGGGGAAGAGAGTGTTTATAATTATGTTATTTATTGCTGGATGCTGAGAATGGTCTGATATTCGTGCTACCTAGGCAATCCATTGACATTTCTCCAATCAGAGCATGTGGACCTTGGAGCCAGGCATGCTCAGAGAAGCCTAGGTGGGCTACCATGACCCCGAGGAAGAGCAGGCTTTGTTTTCCATCAGCACGTTGGGGGCCCTGCCCTGAATGGTCAATTTTTCACATATATATCTCTCTATTTTTTTAATCAAACTCTGGTCTCACTGCCTTATCTCACACCAACTCTGTTTCCTCATTGCCCCCTGAGATGGCCTGTCTTCTGGGGTATAGCTTGGATGTCTTCTTGGATGGTTCTGCTTAGAATGAGTGTCAAGGAGGAAAGAGAGGGAGATGGAGGATGTGTTTGTGCGCCTGTGTGTGTGTGTTTGTGTGTGTGTGTGTGTGTGAGAGAGAGAGAGAGAGAGAGAGAGACCAGCATCTTCAAGAGAAGTATTCTGCTTATACAAAATCCTTAACACCTCATGGTGTTATTCTTCACCATGTTTATATATATATATATATATTTTTTTTTTTTTTTAGAATTTTCTACCCTTGGCATGAGGGGAAATGATTGATATTCAAGCAAGTTCTCTAGGAAAAAAAAAAACTTCCCAACTCAGATTTCTGTGTCAGCTCAGAATGTATCTTTTTTTCATGCTTTGCTCTTTGGATTTATAACTCTGTTTAGACTATTCCATACATTTTAGGTATATTTTGTGCCTTCAGACACTGCAAATAATAATCAGCATTTGGATTAAAGTTGTTTAATAATAAATCTTGTCTTTGCTCCCTATGCTCTTATTCTCTGGGGTGAAGAAATACTGTCTGCTTGTTTCTGGGCATGCTGAGATCATGAAGTAAATTCTGTGCTATCAGCAGGGACAGTCATGAGGAAAACTCCTCTCCTCAAGGGGGTCTCAGATATGCCTGGAGGTGGGGGCAGGCCCTCCTCACCCAGTGCATATCCAGAGTTCCCTGAAACCAACCAGGGGACAGTGTGAGGGACAGGCTGAGGAGCAAGTCTAATTTTTGGTTAACCTAACAGTGTTCTTTAAAATATTACGTTCTTGGAAGTGTCTTAGGAGAGAACTGGGTCATCATCATGCGTAGAGAAGTGCTCCCATGGCCTGGAGGAATGAACACCCCTTTAATTGTCAGCTGACTGTGCTGCCACTCTCATCTCTGCACTCACCCTGACCTCAGATAAGTTGCTTCCCTGTGCTTAGGTCTCAGAGCTAAGGGACTGTCATTCCTGGTGGAGCACAGCTTGGCTGGACCCCCAGCTTGGCTTCTCAAAATTTGGCCCTTACAGGATCTGTGGAGACCTTTCTCCAATGAACATCTTATGCCCTCAGTCATCCTACAGGCCTCAAGCCATCAACCTGATCTTCCACCCCCAGATGTGTGTGCTTTTCAGCCGACCTCTGAAAAAGTCCCCTGGCTTCAGTGACTTTGTGGGGGACAGCCCCGCTGTCGGCCTCAAGCTCAGTAAAGCTGATCTGAGGAGGCTGTCTGACATGATCAAAATTTCTTCTTCTAGAAACCAAAAGGAGGATGCCCAGCCCTAGTTCTTCTGCCCTGCACCAAGGACAGGCTTCTCCACGTTGGGGCCACTCCTCAGACTGGGGCTGAGGGGCGGGCAACAGACACCGCTGGATTCTGTGAGCAGATGGGTGGACAGGAGCAGCTGCAGGGAACCACAAAGGGCTGTTTTCTTAAGAAGAAGCTGCCTAGTTCCTAAATCAGAAATCCCCCGAATAGTGCCAAGGTAAAACTAATTCCATACCTAATGTTTGTCTTTTCAAGTTCTAAAGGAGAAGCAGACACATTAAAGAAGAAAAGACCAGTGGTCCTAAAGGCCACGAGGACATGGAGGGACGCAGTCTATGGCCTGTGCGTTTTCATTTAAAAGTCATTCCATTTAATAATAGATGATAGAAATATAAAAAATTGAAATATTAAACATATTTTAAATATTATTAAATAACAGAGATGGGCAAGGTCTAACGGATAACTCAGGTCTCTATGTGACCTTCTGCTCCCAAGGTGAAGGGGTCACTTAATTGAGTGCCTCCAGCTTCGTTTTCAGGAAACTTTCACTCCCAAAAGTATCTGCTCATGAATTAGCATCTGTGTCTTAACTAGAGCCTTGTTTTGTACTCCTAGCCTTGGCAAAAGTAAATGAGATAAAAGCTCCAGACAATTTTAACTGACCTTTCCTTGCTGTGGACACAATAAAAGAGGCAGCATTTCTGTTCCTAATGTAACATTTTTGTATCTAAAATATTCTTTTATGCCATTAGTTGTTTTTAATAAAACTGTTTATTCTTATTATCCTCACCCTTTGTACCAAGAAACTGCACATAAATAACCCTCTTCTATGCCAATAACTTTAATCATTGTCTTTTTTTTTTTTTTTTTTTGTCTCTCAGTGGTGGTATTTAGTCAGAGGAGATTACTTATGAGAGAAGTGAACCTATTCCAGATAAATCAGGTGAGCTAATAGTCACCTCCTACAAAAGAGGAAGGGACAATTGTCTGTAATGTCTGATCATCCCTCCCCTGCCAGCATTTATTGTCTTTATTGTCTCACCTCTGAACTTGACATTGAGCACTGAGCTCAAAAGATAATAGAAATTCTGTCTGCAGGAAAAACAAAAAACAAAAAAGATGGGCACAGAAGTTT